>NC_000002.12:55947928-56250958 GCF_000001405.40 Homo sapiens | reverse complement strand
GACTCGAATGAAAGACAAAATAGCAAAGAAGAGAGGTCAGAGAGGGGTACTGGGAATATGACAGAAAGAAAAAAAAGATGACATTTACAGTAAGAGACAACTGTATCCAAAGTCTTTCAAATGTACTTCTAATATTCCCCAATTTGCTCTAGTTCAATAGATCAACTCTAGCAATGACAAATGATAACTCAATGAACAGAGACTTGATTGTTTATTAACCAAATACCTCAATTTGGGGGAGTGGTTTGATATTTTTTCAAGAAGCACACATTAGCAATTTGAATCACATTGCAACCCTTCCTATAATATGTCATTTCTGGAAACTCAGGAGAGAAATTGCCAACCACTGCTTCTCAGGAAACCCAAAATGTCCTGCCCTTGTCTCCTCCTATTCTCCCGACTCTCTCTCTCACTGAGCTTCTACCCTAGGTAAGCCGACTACCATACAGATGTCACTAGGCATTTCCTAACTTCTTTCCCCTGACCTGGTTTGTATCATCTTATCCTTGATAGGCTAGTACAATAACTTTTTCAACAATGTTCAAGCAGACAGTTTACTTTGTTTTCTAACTTCAAACTAAGAATATTTTCCAAAGGTTGCAGAGACACAGGCTTGGGTACAAAGGGTAAAACTCCACTACAGTCTCTGTGCCAATTACAGCATAGGGTCCAGGGCACATTTTTATTGCTCATGCTTGGAAAAGCACTCCAACTTAAAATCTTACTATATTTTAAGTGGGCTTACCAAAAATTAAACAGGCACCAAACTCTTAAATGAATTAACATTTGTTTTCAAATGCTTCCTGCTGTACCCAAATGCTCCTCCCATGCCCTTCACTCTCACAATAACCTCACAGTCCTTGCTTACACGTTTTAGAGGAGCAAAACCTATAAGTACACAGATATCATCTACAAAGCCCCTGCCTGCCCTTCATGGCTGCTGGCACAACTGAAGACATTTACCATTTCAAGATCCTCAAAAGCAGAGGCAATGCAAAGAATGAGGCAATGAAGCCATTTAAATATAGCTATGGCAGGGCCTGGCAATGTTACAGCAAATTAAATTTTAATGGGACACAGAAAATGCTGAACCTTCAGAAAGTTTATCAGAGGAAGGGGCATCTGAAGGACACAAATGCCCCAGGGCCCAGGTGTAGACACAGAGGAATAACTACATGCCAGGACCACTCAAGGTCAAGAATTTGCAAAATATACAGATAACCAGATGTGGGGAGACCAGCCCCTCTGCAAATTTGCTGGCTTTTACTTAGAAGGCAAAGAAAATTGATAAAAGCTACTTCGTGAAGGCTCAGAGAAAACTGATATGTAACAAGGTCAAGTTTCTGTGTCAATGAAAGATGCTGCATACGCAAAGGCAGCTGATCTAAATAAAGCTGCTGACCAATGACCCAGTGACCTCAAAGCTTCCACAGTGTGTCTTCTGAGGCTGTTCTTCAGGGACAGATTCACATATAGGCCCTGTATGGGATTGTTTTCATGTGCTTCTTCAGATTCACTCTACCCTCCTGCTCTGTACTCCAGGAGGCTGCATCAAACCAGCTTCCCTGCCTTCTAGCATCTCACTGGGCATGGCCAATAAGTGTCCCTGGCAAGGGATGGGAGCAAAGAAAGACAGAAAGTAAAGGGAGTTTCCTCCTCTTTCCCAAATGCAGTCTGTGGTCTGGCATTGGTACATCCCTCTGCCTAAGGCAGAGCTCATGTCTGGCGGCCCTGCTCCTATAGTGACAGCCACTTCCTCCCCTTGTTCCAGCAGCTCTGATCTATATGAGTTACAGCAATGGATTGTCCAGACCGCTAGCTTCCCACTGGGCTCAGTCACTGGCAAGCATCTGCAGGATATTAGACAGAAGAAGAGAGAAGGTCCTGCTATTTATTCCTGGACTTCCTCCCTCCATTGTCATCTTGGGCTGCATTCATTCCTTGACTGAAGGTCACAGTCCCGCCCTAACCTTTTCTAGAACCCCATCTGTTCTTGCCAATACAGGCACTTCCCTGATATGCTCTTTAGGACAACTATGGTAGCTAAGGGTATGGATTTTGGCATCATACTATCTGACATGAATTCTCATTTTTTCTAATCAATATCCATATGACCTTGGCCAGTGACCTTCCCTCTTCAGGCTTCCTCACCATGAGGATTCTAATGAAACCCAGTTCAGACCAGTGTCCTGACACTGAAATCATGTAGGTGGCACTCAGCTCAGCCCTGCCACGTAAAGTGCTTGATAAAAATGAACTTACTATTGTCTCCACTGTTATTTACAATTACCATGCCCTAACTCCTCACTCTGACTTCCACTATTGCCTGAAATTGCTACGTTTGTGTTGAGCCTCTGCCTTGTCGGAAGCCACTTGTTAAAACAGAAGCACCCCAGGCAGGACTGAGTCAATTGCCACAGTGGGAGCCCTAGGATGCCAGGGACTTTGAGTGGAAACTGAGGCCTCCGGAGATAGGCCAGCCACAAGGCAGAGAAGACAGCACAGGAAGGGAGGTGGGTAGACACCAAGGGCCTGTCTGCTTCCCTGTCTCTGTGAGGGCAGGCCATACTGGTACAAGGAGCATCTGAGTACACCGCTCCACTTGGCCCCTGGTTACGATGCCAGGGCTTCCCCATAACAGAAGTAAGCAAGGCTGGAGACCCAACCAAGGGAGACCGTTCCAGAGCCAGCCAACCCCAGAATACATCTTCCATCCTAAATCTATCATCCTTCCTGATGGCTGGCAGAATATTCTTTCTCTAGCGCCAATGTTTCTATGGAATATTCAGAGAGCAGAAGCATTTATCACAATGACATATCCTAACTTCCAGAAATTGAGACATCTAGAAATAGCCATCCGGGTAATATCACTTATATCCCCTGTCACTTTCTGAAATGATCCAGTGAGAGAGAAAGATAAAGTTCTGTGACTCTGAGCAGAGCAGGTAAAGCATGGGGCCCCTGACAAGTCTCCCTGCTCCCCATTGTACACTGGAGCATTTTGATAGCACTCTATCTTTTCTCTCTGAATGGCTTGGGCCTCTCTAAATAGCTTATAGTACCAGCAAAAGATTGGCCCCAATTCCAATATCCTCAAATTTTCCACTTGTTTATTTGAATCAATGTATTCTTTTCTTTGTCCTGTGATCTAAAGGAGAGAATTAAACAAGGCAGTATTTTATAAAATTGTATTAGAAGGAAAAATATATCATCTATCTTCTGTGTCCCTCATATCCCTTATGATATCTTTTTACAGGTTTATGTTTTTTCATGGCCTAGTCTTTTCCATTTCACATTTTTATCAAAGCACAAAGGAGCCACTTTTATCAGTTGCCTTCAAAATAAGACATAGTTTGGAAACACTCAAATGAAACACTTCAACTTTAAACAAGGTGGCTTCAAGGACCCCATTTTGCTCTGTGAGCTCCTATTGCATTAAAAGCCTAAATGGTCTCAATGAGCTAGAGGAAAACACTCCAGTTACTTTAAGATTGCAGAACAACCTCCTATGAAAAGTGCCAGTTGCATGATGTATACAGGGGAAAAATTGCAGAAGGAAAATATATCTTTCAAGTGTGTTTCTTCTTTCCCCCAGGAATAAAAAAAAAGACCCATGTCTGCAATCTAGATAAGTATTAAAATAAACTTTAAATTTCTCTTCATTCACTATCACTGGATATGAGAGGGTTACTATTACTCTTCTCAAGCAACATATTTTCATTGCAACCCAATATCAAGAGAGCCCTAGTGACCACTGTGTTCTGGTTACCTTCAAATTACACTACTAACGTAGGGCAATCACTTTCTTTACACATATCCAGGACAGTCTTGGTTCCTGGGCAGAACCTGCACTATAGCATAACCACATTTTGAGGGGACATGATTTAGAGTGCAAAACATCTGAATCTTCATAATAAAAATATCATTGAGTGAAAATCTTATGAATTTTCATAGAAAAATGTTGAAAATTATAATAATCACAACTCCTTCAAGAACTTCACACATACTTGGATTGTAAGGATGATTGGAATGAACTGTCCTTTCTCAAAATAAATATATTTTCAAACCATGAAGCCAGAAGTAAAAAGTCCTGAAACCATCAACCTCTGAAACAGGGTAGAAACCTATCCAACAAGTGAAATTTTAGCTCTTTATTTTATTTTAAAGAAAAGATCAATAAAAGAAATCTGTGCATTGGAAAATAAGATGTTCAAACCTAAGCTAATTATAAACATACAGGTCAACTAAATATAATTGAGTCAGAAATAAAACCTCTCATTTATGGTCATATGATTTTCAAAAACAGTGTCAAGGCAATTCAATGGAGAAAGGACAGTCTTTTCAACAAATGGTGCCAGAACAACTGGATATCCACAAAAAAAGAATCAAGTTGGAACTCTACCTCATACCATATACAAAAGTTAACTCAAAATGGACCAAAGATCTTAAAAGTAACAGGTAAAACTATAAAACTTTTAGAAGAAAACATAGGCATAAATCTTCATGACTTTTGATTATGTGGGGTTTTTTTTTTAGATATGACACCAAAAGCATAAGCAAATAAAAACTGGATTTCACCAAAAAATGTTTTTATGCTTCAAAGGACATTATCAGGAATGTAATAAGACAATCCACAGAATGATAAAATGTACTTGCAAGTCATATTTGATAAGCAACTTGTATCTAGATTATATTAAGAACTTCTATAACTCAAACATTAGAGACAAATAACTTGGGCCGGGCGTGGTGGCTCACTCCTATAATCCCAGCACTTTGGGAGGCTGAGGCAGGTGGATCACCTGAGGTCAGGAGTTCAAGACCTGCCTGACCAACATGGTGAAACCCTGTCTCCACTAAATACAAAAAATTAGCCAGGGATGGTGGCACATGCCTGTAATCCCAGCTACTTGGGAGGCTGAGGCAGGAGAATCACTTGAACCCAGGAGGTGGAGGTTGCAGCGAGCCAAATAACTTGTCTTAGTACGTTTTCAGCTGCTATAACAGAATACCTGAGACTCGGTAATTTATACAGAATAAAAATTTATTTCTCCCAGTTCTGGAAACTGGGAAGTTCAAGATCAAGGAGATGGCATTTGGTCTGGTGAAGGCCTTCTTGATACATCCACACATGGCAGAAGGGCAAGCTGCCCAAATGCTATATGAAGCCTCTTTTATAAGGGCCTTAATAGCCTCATGGCTATTAAGAGGTCTCACCTCTTAGAGACCCCACCTCCTAATACCATCACATTGGCAACACTTGAATTTTGGGAAGGGCATATTCAAACCACAGCACAACCCAATTTAAAAATGGGCAGGAAGAGAAAGGCAGAGTAAATGGCCAAATAGAAGCCTCCACCAGTGGTCCCCCTTGCAGAACACCAAATGTGACAACTATCTATGCAAAAAAGCAACTTCATAAGAACCAAAAATCAGGGAAGCAATCACAGTAGCTGGTTTTAACTTAATATCACTGAAAGAGGCACTGAAGAAGATAGGAAAGATAGTCTTGAATTGCTGAGGCCACCCCCTCCTCCATCCCCTGGCAGAGGCCATGTGGCATGAGGAGGGAATCTGTGGGCTTGTGGGAGGTAGAGCAGGCAACTGCAGGATTTTGGAATTCAGTGCTGCCAACACTGGGCAGAATTCAGCTGGTGCTCATAGAGGGAGCATTTAGACCAGCCCTGGAAAGAAGGGAATCACCCATCCCAGCTGGTGGAACTTGAGTTTCAGCAAGCCTCACCACTGCAGGCTAAAGTACTGTGGGATTCTAAATAAACTTGAAAGGCTGTCTAAACCACAAGGACTGCAACTCCTGGGCATGTCCTAGTGCTGTGCTGGGCTCACAGCCAGTGGACTTGTGGGGCACATGACCTAGTGAGACACCAGTCAGGGTGGCTAAGGGAGTGCTTCTGTCACCCCTCTACAAGCACAGGCAGCACAGCTTGCAGCTCCAAAAGAGACCGCTTCCTTCTGCTTGAGGAGAGGAGAAGGAAGAGTAAACAGGACTTTGTTCTGAAAGTTGGATACCAGCTCAGCCACAGTAGAACAGGGAATCCGGCAGAGTTGTGAGGCCCCCATTCCAGGCCCTAGCTTTCAGATAACATTTCTAGAAACACCCTTGGCCAGAAGGGAACCCACTGCTTCAAAGGAAAGACTCAATCCTGGCAGGATTCATCACTTGCTGACTAAAGAAGCCCTTGAGCCCTGAATAATTAGCAGCAGTAACCAAGTAATACACACTGTGGGCCTTGGGTGAGACTCAGATGTGCTGGCTTCCAATGTGACCCAGCATATTCACAGCATATTCAGACTGCAGAGAGCCTCCTTCTGCTTGAGAAAGGAAAGGGAAAAACAGAGGAGACTGTGTCTTACAGCCTAGGTACCAGCTTATCCACAGTAGGGGAGAGGATCCTGCAGTCTCTTAGGGTCCCTGGTTCCAGGCTTTGGCTTTTGGATGGCACTTCTGTACCTACGCTGGGTCAGAAGGGAGCCTAAGTCCCTGAAAGGAGAGTCCCAGGCCTAGAAGCATTCAGCACAAGTTGACTGAAAGGCACTTGTACCTTAAGTGAATTGTCAGTGGTACCCTGGCAGTACTTCCCACGGGCCTGCAGTGGTGGTAGGCATAGGCAGTGATTCCTCTGCTGGCGCAAGGGGAGGGAAGAGTGGCAGAAACTTTGTCTTGTGGTTTCAGGGCCAGTTTAGCTGCAGAATAGAGCACCAGGTAGATTTCTATGGTTTCCAACTCCAGGCCCTGACTCCCAGACATCTCTGAACCTGCCTAGAGCCCAAGGGAATTTTCTGCCCTAAAGGGAAAGACACAAGAGTAGCTGGATTTACCACCTGCTGATTGTAGAGCCCTAGTGTCTTGAGTGAACATAGGCAGTAGACAGGTAGTGGTTATAGTGGGCCTTAGGCAAGACCCAGTACTGTGCTGGCTTTAGTAAAGAAAGAAAGAGAGAGAGACTCTATTTGTTGGAGACAAAGTAAGGCAGGAGAACAAAGATCTTGCCTGGTAATCCAGAGAATTATTCTAGAACTTATCCAAGACCACCAAGGCAATACCTCTATGAGTCTGCAAGAACTATGGTATCACTGGGCTTGGGGTGTCCCCTAATGCAGACACAGCTGCAGTGACCAAAATCAAAATACCAAGGTCCCTTCAAATACCTGGAAAGCCTTCCTAAGAAGGATAGGTACAAACAAGTCCAGACTGTGAAGACTACAGTAAATATCTTCTCTTCAATGCCCAGATGTCGAACATCTACAAACATCAAGATCCTGCAGGAAAACATGACCTCACTGAACAAACTAAATAAGGAACCAGGGGCCAAGCCTGGAGAGATAAAGATATGTGACCTTTCAGACACAGAATTCAAAATAGCTGTTTTCAGAAAACTCAAAAAAATTCAAGATAACACAGAAAGGTAATTCAAAATTCTATCAGATAAATTTAACAAAGAAATTGAAATAAATAAAAAGAATCAAGCAGAAATTCTGGAATTGAAAAATGCAACTGACATACTGAAGAACGCATCAGAGTGTCTTAATAGCAGAATTGATCAAGGAGTGGAAAGAACTAGCAAGCTGGAAGACAGGCTATTTGAAAACACACGGAAGAGAAAAAAGAAAAAAAGAAAAAAAATGAAGCACTCCTACAACATCTGGAAAATAGCTTCAAAAGGGCAAACCTAAGAGTTATTGGCTTTAAAGAGGAGGTACAGAAAGAAACAGGGGTAGAAAGTTTATTCAAAGGGTTAATAACAGAGAACTTCTCAAACATAGACAAAGATATCAATATTCAAGTACAAGAAGGTTATAGAATACCAAGCAGATTTAACCCAAAGAAGATTACTTCAAGGCATTTAATAACTAAATACCCAAAGATCACATATGAAGAAAAGATCCTAAAAACATCAAGAGAAAAAAAAACAACACAGAAAGGACAGTCTTTTCAATAAATTGTGCTGGGAAACCTGGATATCCACTTGCAGAAGAATAAAACTAGACTTCAATCTTTCACCATTTTCAAAAATCAAATCAAAATAAAGACTTAAGTCTAATACCTCAAACTATAAATTACTAACAGAAGACATTGAAGGAATTCTCCAGGCCACTGGACTGGCAAAAATTTCTTGACAAATACCCCACAAGCAGAGGTACCCAAAGCAAAAATGGACAAATCAGATCACCTCAAGTTAAAAAGTTTCTGCACAGTGAGTGAAACAATCAACAAAATGAAAAGACAATCTGTAGAATGGGAGAAAATATTTGCAAACTACCTACCCGATATAGTTTGGATATTTGTCCCCACTCAAATTTTATGTTGAATTGTAATTACCAGTGTTGGAGGTGGGGACTTGGTGGGAGGTGTTTGGCTCATGGGGCAGATCCCTCATGAATTGCTTAGGCCATTCCCTTAGTGAAAAGTGAAATCTCATTCTGATTTCACATGAGATCTGGTTGTGTAAAAGTGTGGAGCATCTCCCCCATCAACTTTCTCTCTTTCTTGCTCCATTCTCACCATGTGATGTGCCTACTCCCCCTTTGCCTTCTGCCATGATTGTAAGCTTCCTGAGGCCTCTGAGGAAACCAAGCAGATGCAAGCACAATGCTTCCTGTAAAGCCTGCAGAACCATGAGCCAATTAAACCTCTCTTTTTTATAAATTACCCAGTCTCAGGTATTTATAGCAATGCAAGAATGGCCTAATACACTATCTGAACAAGGGATTAAAAACAAGACTATATAAGGAGCTCAAACAACTCTATAGGGAAAAAATGTAATAATCCAGATAAAAACTGACAAAAGATCTGAATAGACATTTCACAAAAGAAAACATACAATTGGAAAATAGGCATATGAAAAGGTGCTCAACATCACTAATCATCAGAGAAATGCAAATCAAAACTGCAATGAGAGACCATCTCACTCTATTTAAAATGGCTTTTATCCAAAAGACAGGCAATAACAAAGGCTGGCAAGTATGTGGAGAAAAAGGAACACTTGTATACTATTGGTGGGAATGTAAATTAGTTCAAACACTATGAAGAACAATTTGGAGGTTCCTCAAAATAACTAAAAATAGAGCTACCTTATGATCCAGCAATTCCACTGTTAGGCATATACCCAAAAAAAGGAAATCAGTATATCAAAGAGATATCTGCACTCCCATGTTTAATGCAGTACTATTCACACTAGCCAAGATTTTGAAACAACCTAAGTGTCCACCAACAGATAAATGGAAGAAGAAAATGTGGTATATACCATGGAGTACTATTCAGCCATCATAAAGAATGAGATCTTGTCATTTGCAAGAACACAGATGGAATTGGAGGTCACTATGCTAAGTAAAATAAGCCAGGCACAGAAAGACAAACTGCACATTCTCACTTATTTGTGGGAGCTAAAAATCAAAACAATTGAAATCATGGAGACACAGAATAGAACAATGGGTATCAGAGGCCCAGAAAGATAATGGGGGATGTGGTGGGGAGGGGGAATTGGGGATGGTTAATGGGCACAAGAAAATAGAAAGAATGACTAAGATCTGGTATTTGATAGCACAACGCGGCAACTACAGTCAATAATAATTTAATTGTACATTTTAAAAAAACCTAAAAGAGTATAACTGGATTGTTTGTAACACAAACGATAAATGCTTGAAGTGATGGGTACTCCATCTACCCTGATGTGATCATGTGATTATTACAAATTGTATGTCTGTATCAAAATATCTCATATGCCATATGTATATATATATCTCCCACAAAATAAAAATTAAAAATGGCCAAAGGGTTTGAATAGACATTTCTCCAAACAACATATGCAAATGGTCAATAAGACATAATAAAATGTTTCTTAGTTATTAGAGAAATTCAAATCAAAACCACAATGAGGTACCACCTATGATCCAGACAGACAATAGCAAATGCTGGCAATAATATGGAGAAATTGAAACCCTCATATATTATTGGTAGGAATGTAAAATGGTGCATCCAATTTGGAAAAGCTTGTCAGTTCTTCAAAAAGTTAAATATAGAGTCACTGCATGATGCAGCAATTCCACTCCCAGGAGAATTTAAAACAACAGTTCACACAAACACTTATACACAATGTTTATAGTGGCCTTACTCATAATAGCAAAAGAAAAAAAATGGAAAGAACTAAAATTTTCATCAATTGATGAATGGTATATTATCCATGCATTGGCCTATTATTTAGCCCTAAAAATAAAATACTGACAGCGACATCAGTGAACCTTAAAAACATCATGCTAAGTATGCTAAGAAGGAGTTGCAGGCACAAAAGGCCCACATAATATTGCACGAGTCCATTTGTATGATATGTCCAGAATAGGCAAATCCATAGAGACAGAAAGTGTTACTGGTGGAGGGTATTGACTACAAGTCATCCAGGCTCTTGGCATTTTGAACAAAGAATTGGACAAAACACACAAAGAATGATGAATGAATGAAGAATGAAGCGAAAAATGAAATAATGAAAGCACTTATTTACTGAAACAAAAGTACACTCCACAGAGTGAGAGCAGGCTCAAGCAGGTGGCTCGAGAGTGCTGGTTACAGAATTTTCTGGGGTTTAAATACCCTCTAGAGGTTTCCCATTAGTTACTCGGTTATACCCTATGTAAATGAAGACTCAGCCAGCGGCCAATCTGATTGATCACAGGAGGCTGAATCAGAGGCTGAAGTGAAGTTACAAAGTTATACCCTATGCAAACGAAGACTTCAAAGTAGGCAAGTGGGTTGCTGGGAACTGAAGGAAGGGGAAACGGGGAGCAACTACTAATAGGTATGATGTCTCTTTTTGGGATGATGAAAATGTACTGAAATTAAATAGTGATGATCATTGTACAACTCTGTGAATATACTTAAAACCACTTAATTGTAAAAGGGTGAATTTTAGGATATATGCATTACATCCCAATTATACCCCAAGTTTGAAAAAAAATTCAAACTTGGGAGGTACACAGATCTTTAAAGTATGTAAATCTTGGTAAAACTCAAGCAATTCCATTATAAACTTACCATAAAACAGATATAAATATATAAAATGACAAGTTGAAAAAAGATCTCGAGTTATAATGAGCCCTAAAACTATGATTTCAGAAGCCTTTCAAGGGAACTCTCCAACAAAATTATCACATCATCTCTCCAGTAACTGCCACTGGAAGGATCTGGAAAATATCCTCACTGAATGAGGGCAGAACATGCCTTTTTCAAACTCTAATTCCCAGAAATAAACTTTACTTTGGTCTGAAAAATCAAGCTCAATAACCGTTGATGAACCCCCTTAGCAAAGCAAAACTCACCCTCAGAAACACTGTTCAATGAATCATCATCATAAAATGAATACTGCCAATTCATTTCCCAAGTAAATAGTGTGCCTCTGTGTAGGACAGAGCTGTTTTACAAGGCTCCAGATCTTAACCTAAGTGATTCAAACTGAAATGCACTTGGCTACCTCCCAGCAACATGTAGTTTGCTACAATGTTATTTTAAAGAGGGAATAGGAACAGGCCAGATTAACCCTACAGAGTAATTTGTTAGCAAACACAAGGCTTTAGTCCGCCAGGTTTCATAAGCATACCACTTTATGCCATCTCTCCTTGGGGCTTCATCATCCAGAGGTGTCTCTTTCCTGCCCACCACTTTTAAACAAACAATAGTATGACATGTACCTTGAGCATAGGACATTTAATTATTTCTTTTTCTGACCCAAACAAGCTGACTGTGCAAACTCTGCAGTCATATAACGACCCTCACATCTGGCTGATTAAAATGACACTGAAATGTCTGCTTAGGGAACCTCAAAAAGTATACTCCTCTCTCTTCAACATTTTAAATTTCAGTGCACTTGGGAGAGGAAACCTGTCTTCTCTTTTCAAGCTTCTTTGCATTTATTTTCAGCTGCCAAAGAAATTCTTAATTATAACAATCCTTTATATTCTTGGATAAGTAGTGAGCATATCAGTATGATGCTCCATCTCATAAGGATAACATACAATTTTAAAGAGATATAAAGGAGTTAAATAATCTTCAGCAAAGTCCATCGCAGACCCATATAACTAAGGTTATACATGACACCTATCAAATGGCTCAATGCTCTGTAAAAATAAATAAACACATACATACATAAGACTGGTTTTATGTAGACTGGGCCCATGTTTCAAAAGCAGTATGAGTTTTTTACTCTTATATAGTGGTCTTATAGTAGAAAAATGATCAATTCCTTGGCAAGAAAGAATCTCAGTGACCATGGGAACAAATTTAAATTTTACAATTTAGTCACTCCAATTAACCTAGCATCCTCATAAAGACAAAGCTTCCAAATAACTTTCAAGATGGTTTTTATATTCTAAATGTTTGATCTGTACAATGTCCAACAAATGAAAATATGGGCTACACAGGCTGTGACAGGAATAAGTCATAGATAATAAACCTTTTTAATAGAATATTAAACATAAATATGTTGTTTTTTAATTTAAAAAAATGAACGCTGAGTGCCACTTTTTTTTTTTTTTTTTAGACAGAATGTTACTCTGTCACCTAGGCTGGAGGGCAGTGCTGCAATCTTGGATCACTGCAACCTCTGCCTGCCGGGTTCAAGTGATTCTCCTGCCTCAGGCTCCTGAATAGCTGGGATTACAGGCGCCCACCACCATGCCTAGCTAATTTTTTGTATTTTTAGTAGAGACGGGGTTTTGCCATGTTGGCCAGGCTGGTCTCAAGCTCCTGACCTCAGGTGATCCGCCCACCTCGGCCTCCCAAAGTGCTGGGATTACAGGTGTGAGCCACTGCACACTTTTATACTATCCTGCTACCGTCTGGCAGTATGCATAGTGGAAAAAGCAGAGATGAATAATACAGTCAGGCGGACCAGGGATTCAAGTCTAGAGTTTTCATGAACTAACTGTGTATGAATTTGGGAAAGTCACTGGGAAAGCTTCAACCCTGAGCTTTCAACTCTGTAATGTGAAGATACTGTCTACCTTTCAAAGTTACCATGAGGATACAATAAGAGAAACATTTCATGCATAACACAGCACATGGCACTACACCAAGCCACCAATCCCTATTAGACCATTCCGAATAGGCATCCCATAAATATCTTTCTCTTCATTGACAAAAGAAATGACACTATATTCAGCATTCAATCATAGCAAACTTTGTTCTCTCTCTCTTAAAAAAAAAAAAAAAATTAATGGTTAGGGTTAGTACAGCATCACAGTTAAGAGCTCCAGCAAAAAGATGGTGAGATCTGAGTTTGAATCCTAGCTCTACTGCATACTGCTCAGTGGATTTAGACTAAATTTCTTAACCTCTCAAGTTCAGTTTCCTTGACTTTAAAATAGGGACGATAAAGTACTTCTTTTAACGGGTTGTTATGGGGTTTAAATAAGACATTCACGTAAGCTGCTTAACAAAGGGCTTGCCATACACTGGCGATTATTGTTATTACTTAGCAAGATTGTTAACAAATTTTTTTTCTTCTGTATTCATGTATAAATCTTCTGAATCTCTATGATGTTATGTGAAAGCAACATCAAGACAGATACTGACACCTGCTTTCTGCCTCCTGTACACAACTTTCCCAACCAAATGAGCTGGGCCTGCCTGTTATGTAATTATAATTGTAATAAGGATAATCTTGGTGAATTACTAGTAGATTACCTCTGCTCTCTAAGACACGCCAGTAATCTAAAGAGGATATCTGACTTTGGTGGAAGTGAATGAGCTATATCTGAGTGAGTGACTCTTCACACTGAGCAAGCTTTGCAGTTAGCCGTCTTGGTGAAGCCATCAGATTCTGAGTCTATCCTCAGAGAGAATCCCAACATAAGAAAAATGCCTAAATAAGCATCATTAAGAAATGCCCTTTCGCATCAAATCAGCATTTTTCACAGATTAGTTAACCAACTGAAATACATTTTGATGAGCCTCGTAAAAAAGAAATTCATAGAAAAGCTGGACGAGACAGAAAATAATACAACAGAATCATCATTCTTACAGGGAAGGGGCCCTACCTTGTTACTTCCCTGAAAGACAATCTAATACCTTTTTGGTAACTCAGCATCATTTGGGTATTCAGGCATAAGAACAGGAATAAGGATAATGGGGACATAAGAGACCTGAGAAATTTGTGCAAATGTGAGGCCAAAATGATGAAGAAGCCATTCACAAAGAAAAAAGGACCATGCAGGAGATCTGGATTCTCGTCATGCCTCCACTAGGTAAGTCTAATGCTTATTTAATCTTGTCTGTCCTGAGTTATCACCCCTTGATACTCTGCAGGACACTTTTAAATTTTGAAAGGAAATGTGAAATATGTGGGTGGAGAGTTAATAAAAAATAAAAATGGATTCTCATAAAAGGTCAAGAAGTGTGAGGTCTCACGCCTCCTCTACCCTTCATTAGTTGCTCTTCCTCTTCCCTGTGCAGCAAATCCTCTCATCTCCTCTTTCATTATTAGCTGTACCTAAATTCCACCTTATGAAGAAGGCCAAGTCAGAAAAGGATTATAGAAGTCAGACACAGATCATGCCTTGTCATCTGTCCCATTCTCCCGGCTGCCTCAACTCTCTCAACATTCTGATCTGTCAGGCACATTCCCTAACCTTTTTCAATGGCCATGATTGTGTTGCTTCTCTGCTCAAACACAGGGAGCAGCTTCCTACTGCCTTCCTCATACCAGTTATAGTATGACACTAGAGTGCTCACTAGGTACCAGGTACTGCATAGGGGCCTTTCCTTCATTTTTCCCAATGCTTACAATGACACTGGAAGTAAGCTGTTACAATTCTGTTATTGTATTATTACTCTTAATATTATTCAAACACTATATTTGGTCACATCTGTATTTTCAGCCTTTTTTCTAGCATCACTCGTTGAACCCCAACCAAACTGAACATCTCACTCTTTTTTATTCATACTTTGTATTTCTTTTCCTTTGATCCCTTGCTAGTTGGTGGCTTTCCCTCCAGCAGGAATGTACCCCCTTTTTGAAGCTGATCTCAAACACATATCCTCTACCAGGAATTCTCTTAGCCTGAAAGAGAAGAGAATCTGTCTTGTCCAGCTTTCCTTAGCCAGAAAAGACCTCACACTTCTTGATCTTTTATGAGAATTTATTTTTATTTTTTATTAACTCTCCACCCACATTTTACACATTCCTTTCAAACTTTAAACATCCTCTCTTAATTATTTAAGATCTCATTTGTACCATTTGTATGGGACTTACATTGAATTTTGTGCATGTCTTTTTCCTCTGCTAGGTGGCCCATTTTCAGGAGACTGAATATTATGACACTGATGCCTGTGCTCAGCATTAGGTGCACAATACACATCTGCTGCAGGAATGTCTTACGGATGGACACCAAGTTTGAAAAGAAAATTTAGTCTCTATTTTCAGTGTCTTATACATTCTGCTTCTCTCATTGATTTTTTTTTTTAGTCTTTTCCCTAATTTACCTTTTTCATTCATGCTCAAAAACCAGTATCAAGGTAAGCCTCCTACAGTATTCAATTATTTTTCAAAGTACATCTAACGGTTGCTATTTAATCACGGCTCTGGTTGGTTCTACAGGAAGTGTATATAAAACTACCTATGCTGTCTGCGGTCACACCACCCTGAATGCACCAGATCTCCTCTGATCTTGGAAGCTAAGCAGGGTCAGGCCTGCTTAGTACTTGGATGGGAGAAAACCACCTATGCCTTTGTTAACAATTCCAACTAATGAGATTATCCACTTTTTCATTTAGACAAGCTTGCAGATTAGGGATAAGTATTTAGCTTCATAGTTTTCTCTTACCACATTGCACATCACTGAAGAAGGCATTTCATGTAATTCACTGATGGTATTTTTAGCTTTTACATAGGTCTCCATGGAAATTTAATGGAAATTAATGACCCTAAAAGCTTACATCTGTTTTGATTAGATTCTGATTTTAGTAAACTGTTTTTCACAACCTGAGATGAACTCATTTATACGCAGGCTTATAGCTACATGGAACATCTACTAAGAAGCTATCTCCATCAGAAAAGATGATAAAAGCTATTCAACCTTTCATAATGTGGTAATTATTATTCAACAAATAATTAAAACATAGTGTCTTCCCTAAAATCAGCAAACAGGCAGGACAAGAAAAGAATGTGTAAACACTCAGGTAAAGGAAGATGAATACATAATCAAGGAGTAAGGACAACTAAATCGATTCTGAATATCTTTAGCGAAGATCTAAGGGGGCTCTGGAGAACATGCACATTTGAAAGGGAAATGAAATCCAGAGAAGAAAAAAAAAGGTAGGATAAATAATTAGTGACTGAGGTGAAATAGGTACATTTGAGAAAAAGACTGAGGAGTTGCAAGATGAATCGATATGGGAATAAGAATGAAATACAAGAGACAATGAAAATATGTGGTGGTTTAATTTTTTTTAATCATAAAGATAATTGCAGCCAAGACATTTTGAAGTGACAAGAGCAGCTGCTGAGAAATGAAAAGCTAGGCAAGCTCGAGAGGAGCCAGTTCAATTCAAGGGCTATTCACTGAGTTTCTGCTCAGGACAAGGCACCATGCTAAGAGCTGCTGAGCAGATCCTGCCCTCCAAAGAGACCCTGCTCTCCAAAAGCCCAGTGAAAAGACAAAAACAAAGTTAGCACTGCACCCATGATACATGGCATGATCAAGATGCCTGTCAAAAGAGAAGCAGCCAGAGATCATGAGGAGAAGAAAGTGAAAGTCTATGGGCTCATGGTTTCACTCCCTAATGAAAGCAGTGATGCAGCACTGGATGTTAACTACATGGACAGATATCCTCTATTTTAAATACTGAGGAATAATACCAAGAAATAAAAGATGTTCTAGCTAGCCTTTTAGGGTAGAGGGTACTTTTCAGGTGTCCTCATAACCGAGCTTTTAGAAAAATTTTATCCTTCAAAAAGTTTGAAAATTATGCTTGAGAAACAACCCAGCCCTTGCATTTCCAATTTGATTATGCATCAGCCAACTTTTCCCCTTTCTGACAGAAATTAGGGAACATCTTTTATCCACCCAGACTGCAAAACAGGACTCAACAAAATGGAATCAATTCAAGTAAGTATCAGTGAAAGAAAGGGAAGAGAAATACAAGGCCCTTTCCTCAAGGAGCTTTCAGAAGCTGCAATTCAGGGATTGGTTACAGAGGCCATTCTCAGATTTACTAATATAACATGAGAGTACTACTACAAAATCTTTTAAAGCGGGAGTCACCAAACAACAGCCCTTGGGCTAAATCCAACCTGTTGCTTGTTTTTGTACAGCCCACAGGCTAAGAATGGTTAATTTTTTTTTAGTATTTTATGATGTAAAATATGTAAAATTCCAATTTCAGTATACATAAATTTTATTGGAAGACAGTCATACCCATTCATTTACATATTGGCTACAGTTTATTTTCACTATAATAATGGAGTTGGGTAGTTACAATGGAGACCTTTGGGCCCTGCAAAGCCAGCCTAATATTTACTGTCTAATTTGAGCATGCCATGATTCTTCAACACAAATGTTTAGCATGTATTCCCTCTGCTATTCTTCAAAGGATGAGACAAGGAAGGTATGTAGTCTCATCATTATGGAACAAGCTCTGGAGTAAGAAAGACAGTGTTCCAGTCCTGGCCCCTCAGTCCCCTGTTATGTAATTTGACTTAACCCTGTCAGTCTCAATTTCCTTGCCTATCCGGGAAAGTACTATCAATGTGCACCAACCAATCAGTAGCCCAGGTCTACCAGGAGCTGGAGAGGCTGGTGCTTTCTGAAGAAGTGAGAGTTAAGCTTAGATCTGAATGACAATAAGAGACAGTCCTGCAGAGGTGAACAAAGAGGTTCCCAGGCAGAGGCACTACCTAACGCAGACAGGCCTTACAGGGAGAAGGCTCAGTGGGTTTGGGAAAAAGAAATGGGGACAATGTGGGCTGGAGCACTGCAGGCAAGGCAGAACCCTCTAGAGGAAGGTAAGCAAATTGTGGTATTATTATGTCACCCCATTAAGTTTTAATCAGGGTAGTGAGTGATCCAATGTGACCCGTTATATAAAGACAAAAGAGGGGCAGCTGGGAGACTAGAAACTAAATGAAATTGTGCAGGCAAGAACAATGGTGATGTCTTGGACCAGGGTAGTTATAATAAAGATGGAGAAATATGGGAATGACCTGGATGTGGAGTGGTGAGGGGATGTGTATTAGATCATTCTCATGCTGATATGAAAAAATACCAGAGACTGGGTAATTTATAAAAAGAGGTTTAATTGACTCACAGTTCTGTGTGGCTAGAGGCCTCAGGAAACTTACAATCATAGTGGAAGGCACCTCTTCACAGGGTGGAAGGAGAGAGAATGAGGGCCAGCAGGGGAAATGCCAGAGGCTTATAAAACCATCAGATCTGGTGAGGCTCACTATCACAAGAACAGCACAGAGGAAACTGCCCCTGTGATTTAATTACCTCCACCTGGTCCTGCCCTTGATACTTGGGAATTATTACAATTCAAGGTGAGATTTGTGTGGGGACACAGAGCCAAACCATATCAAAATGCAAGGAATCAAAGGCAACTAGGAGATATTTGGTTTGAACAATTGAGCGGTACCATTTTCTAATATCAGCAGTCTCAGGGGGGAAATAGCTAAGGGGAAGAAATCCAGAGTCTGGTTTTGGGCATGTTACATTTCAGATGCCAATTAGGTATCCTAGTAGTGATGCTGAATAGGTATCAGGTGTTCACTCAAAGTCTTATGCAAAAGTCATGGCTATAGGTACAGATTTGGAAGTCATCTGTATTAAGTTAGAATTTAAAGCCATGGGACCAGAAGAAATTATGTAAAATGCAGGAAGAAAAGAAAGATGCAAATAAGGTAGCCCTGGGACCTTCCAACATTGAGAAGTCAAGCAGAGGAGTAACACCAAACAACCAGAGAAGTAGGCAAATGAAGCATGACATCATGATCACCAAGAGATGAAGTGTTACAGGGACAGAATGGCCATCCCTGTCCAATGCTGTGGGTGGTTGAATAGGAGAGTTGTACCCTCTGGATCATCATGGAGCTGTCTCAGTAAAGTAGGGGGAACTGAAGAGCTACTGGAGTAGGATGAGACAAGAACAGGTAGTGAGAAGTGAAAACAGTAACTACAAACATCCCTGATAAAGTTCAGGATCTTTTTCCTACAATAATAATGTACACTAACACATGCAGCATCAAATATTAGGGTTGATAACATTATAGAGAGACCCGTCTAAAGCCATGAACTCTCTAAGGTTTTAGGCACCCCATTAAAAAACCTTGGTCTACAGTTAAAAAAAAAAATACTGCCAAGGCTAAGTTCTTTTACCCAACTGACTCATTCTTAGATTGAAGCCAAGAGTCATGAGTCTATAGACAATTCCAATATTTTATAAGGCCTCCTGTATTGCCTAAGAAGTTCCTTCCTTTAAGAATGTGTCTCTTTTCCACCAAACGCAATTACCTGGATTCAGAACCCATAGACTTAATTACGGTGAGTTGAGTCTGCTTAACTCCAGCTGTTTCACTGATTTCTATAAGGGACACTGTTAGACTGAAGAGGCTGTGCAAGAGCCAGGCTCCTGAGAGACTTTCTATAAAAGGCCGCAGCACCTTATCCTGCTACCAACTTGCTTTTCTTTCCGTCTCAGGCTAGGGACACTATGATTAGCATAAGCTGTTTTACCATGAAAGCAATTAATATGATTTTATTCTTCCAAATTCTTCCATGAGAGAATGTCATGCTAGTTGAATGAGCAGCCGAATATCATATCATCAGATCCTACAGAGTCAGAATTTCATAAAGACAAAGTAGTATTCGAGGAACTAATTTTTTATGCTTCCAGCTTGCTCCTAAATCTTATGCCTTTTAGTATAAGGGAAATATTCCAGACTAAGCAATACTAAGATGTAAGAAACATACAAGCACAGCATATGTGGATCATACTTTGCAGCTCATTTAAGCACCCAAGCAGACCCTCAGTAGCAAAAGAATAAGACAAAAGTAGACTCTGAACCTGAAATAATTCATTCTTCTAATTTCCTCCAGCATTCACCTACTAGACCCTTCCAGAGGGCCGGTGCCAGAGCCAAGGTCAAGAGACGAAAGACAGACACCGTACCTGCACTCACAGGGGCTCAGATGATAAACAAGTCAAAGTTAAAAAACGAAATAAATTTTCAAATGAGACATTTTGTTATTTTGAAAAAGAATAATCAAACAAGGGTCAGAACACAGAGAATTTTTTTAAATGGATGATCACAAGAGGACTCTCAGAGGAGGTAACATGTGAGCTGAGACCTCAGTGACAAGGAGGATCAGCCATGGGCAGACGTGAGGAAGAGCATTCAATTTACATTTTTAAAAGCACATTTCCAACATAGAGCTTCAAACCACTGGAAAATAACCTGGCCTCTGTAGTTTAGCAGCAATATTTCTAATAGCAGGAAAATAAATATGAACTCCTGGGATTGCCTATAAAAGGGAATGAGTCATTATCTCTTTTACGATGTTTTCAATGACTAATTAAGAGAGTAGGGAACACAAAAATATAACTGCTTGTACTTTTACTGCCTGTGTTCAGGAATTACATCATCTGCCCAAGGTATCTGTCCCTAGAGTAAGTGTATGTTCCTAAATTATCAGTCATCAGTTACCAATATCATAAGCAAAGAAGGGTTTAGTTCAATTAGTGTAAGTAATTGTGCAAGTTTCATCCAGCCTCAAGAAAATGTTCAAAACACAGAAAACGCAAGTAAAACATGAGATACAAAGACTACTGAATATGCTGGGCTTGATGTTGCCAAATACCTTTCACTGCTGAATCTGACAATGAGTTGCCCCCTGCCCAAAATTGGCCCAGCAATACTTACTCAAGCATAATTTTACTGACATCATTAATATTTGCATCAACCTCACTAAGATTCTCTGGCAACTGCATAAAGAAACAAATTTTCCCAGTGAAATGTTACAGGCAAAATTCATCTATATCCTGCTTATGCTAAAGCAAAATTAGCTCAAGGTGAAAGTCATATTAATTCCCTGGTGAAAACCGATTTGTTGGAGCTGATTCATCTTTGCCTCAGACAAAACACGGGGTAGGCTCTTTCTGACTAATTTGTACTCTATATTGTTTTGAAAAATTGATCATTTTTCATGATTCATTCAGAAAAAAACATCTAGACATATAGATCCGGCTGTTTTGACTATGCTTCAATATGGTTCTATTATCTTTAAAGACAAATAGACCAAACAAAAAAAAATTATGGCCACCTACAGCAGAAACCAGAGGTCCACGATACCACCAAGCATGCCTCTCCTTTTTCTGTTTTTCTTTCTCTCCTTTCGTTTTCAGTTATCTTTTTCTCTCTTCTTCCTATAGGCCAGGCTTGCTACCAGTACCAAAGTCTTAGAAAAGCTTGAAGAACTAAGGTCTAAAATGGTGGGCAATCACTGACCCACAGCTTTTTCCATAATTACAAGCAACAATGTTACTAGTCTCGCCTTAAAAATACTTCTTTAAAGTCCTTTATAAAAACTAAAGAAAACATCACACATGTCCAAAAAACTCAGCCAATCAAAGGAAAAAATAAAATGCACAATAGTACAAATTTACAGACATAAGTCTACGTCTTAATCACGTATAATTAAGCTCCTCATAAGCTAATATGGTAAAGGGGAAAAACACTGGAAATAAAATGACAAATGAAGCTTTGGATATACCCATCCAAGGAAAACAAAATTGCCAAAGGGACTAGGTCCTAAACTTTGCTGGTAAAAGTACCCATGTCACAGCAATCATAGACTGTGGTAGAAAAATCCTATTGGTGGCTTGGTTTTTCATAAAGAAGAGACTCAAAAGCCAGCAGAAGTTCAAAGGATCTTCAGAAGACTTTGCAATCACAGGTATCCAGTTCCTGTATTTCAACTGTGTATTTGGAAAACCTTAATGAGAAGGCTTGTTATTTAAATGTATTATTGTCCAATAAATGGAAGTTTAGAAGGTAGTTAAAAACATATCTCAACTTGACTTTGAAATTTAATATGGTCAGGTATAGAGGAAATAAACGGGAGAAAGGGCCTGGTGTGGTGACTCATGCCTGTAATCCCAGCACTTTGGGAGGCCGAGGCGGGCGGATCACTAGGTCAGGAGATTGAGAGCATCCTGGCTAACACAGTGAAACCGTGTCTCTACTAAAAACACAAAAAAATTAGCCAGGCATGGGGGTGGGCCCCTGTAGTCCCAGCTACTCGGGAGGCTGAGGCAGGAGAATGATGTGAACCTGGGAGGCAGAGCTTGCAGTGAGCCAAGATCGTGCCACTGCACTCCAGCCTGGGGGACAGAGCGAAACTCTGTCTCAAAAAAAATAAATAAAAAAATAAAAAATAAAGGGGAGAAAGAGGAGGAAGAAAGACAACGTGTAGACTTTTATTGCATGAAAATACTAATACTAGCAATAATAAAAGTAAATATTTATTGTACACTTGCTATGTGCCAACTAGTATTGTCTCATTTAATCCTGATAACAACCTTGTAAGATGGGTACTATTATTATCCTCAATTTTATTATTATTATTATTATTATACTTTAAGTTTTAGGGGACACGTGCACAACGTGCAGGTTTGTTACATATGTATACATGTGCCATGTTGGTGTGCTGCACCCATCAACTCGTCAATTTACAGATAAGGAAATTAGGGCACAGTGAAGTTAAGAGACTTGCCCATATCACAGAGCTTGTAGGTGACATGGCCAGAAAATAATGCTGGACTGGCTGACTTCACAAAGGAAGTTCTCAGTTAAGAGTTATTCTCTGATGCCCAATGAGGGAATGTTAGTCTTCAGCTCTACTCTGTGCTATGGCCTTGGAAAAAGTATTTCAATCTTTCAACAACTCAGTCATTTCTGCGATTGTGAAACAGGACTGATCTGTCTTATAAGTCACAGTATAGGCTCACAACAGAGTGATAAGTACTATGCAGAGAGCACTGGTTTCCAAATTACAGAATCTTTCATAACTCTTGAAATCTAGGTGAGCATCACTGGACAAGGGCAATCAGACCATTAACAAACCCATAGGGCCTTGTGAAACTGGCCTCAGAGGCTGTGAACTCTGGCAGGAAAGAGAGACTGGACCAACAGATAATCACCATAAACAGACAGCTATTAAAATACACCAAAAAAAAAAATGGGGGTGGTTCCATGTGTCAAACAATGGCTATGAATAATTCCAGGAAGGCTTCCTGGAGAAACAGGGTTTGTGGGCTATAATATTTCAGAAGAGAACAGTGAAAAGTAAAAGAATATTGCTCCACACACACAGGTAGACTGGACAAGTCTTCAGAGAATAAACCTGAGATCCAGACATGCCATCTACGTAGCCCGAAAGGACAAAAACCAATTCCCGCTTGGAACACTTGTTAAAAGACAAACATAAGAAAGATATTGCTGCCATGGTCCATTTCTCTTCCCCTCCAGGCTATTTTTCCACAACTAATAAAATCATTTAATAAAAAAGCATAAAACCTTGAATTATTTTTAAAATCTGAAAACATGTATCCTTCCGTCTGTTGCCAAGCAACACACTTCAGCTACAATATGATCTGAGACCTTGATTAACATTCTCAGTTGTATAGAAAGGGTATAGAAACAGGATATCTTGATTACAGAATGAGACTTTTAAAAACAAATAAATGGAAGAAAAAAGAATGTAAAGAAATAGAACTCATATCAAATCAGTGGGTTTTTACACTAGAAACAACAAGCCATTGGTTCTCGGATTTCAGAAGCCTGACTAATAATAAAAGAGGATTCTATGCAGCTACTCAAGTTACTAAAGACATAAAAATAAAACAATGTCACTCTTTCCACATTAGCTAAAATTTTTAGTTATTGAATGGTTTTCATTAGCTTTTACCCCTTTCTCAGAATAAAAGGTGCTAAAATTTGCCTATTGAAATTACTCAGGATGCATCCCCTCTCAGTATTTCTAGAATAAAGAAAAAGCCACCAATACTCAGTTACAAAATTCCAAAGCTGCAGATCTAGTCCATCCCAAGAGCCTTCTGCTTGTGCTAGGAACTCAGATTTCCAAACTGTGGCAGAAATGTAAGAGATATTTTAAAGGTGTGACTAGCATGGCCATTAAATTCCTTAATCCTATGAAGCGGATGGGAAGAGTAGGAGGGCTGGGGAATGGTTGCCATTACTACATTTGGGAGACCTAAAGATGAAGATGTAACAAAACACAAGGAAGAGATGAAATTCATAATACCAAGGTTCACAACACCAAATGTAATGAAGCTAAAACGCAGGAATTGGGAAAATACAATTTAAAAGTTCATTTGCAAAGAATCATGCAGTTTTAGTTGAAAGGAGGTTTAAAAGGAAAAAAAAAATATGACATAGTTGCTAAAAAAGCCTTTTAGAAAGTGACTAAATGCTTACTAAGTGCTGGACATTGTGGTAAGTGCTTTCAGTCTTAGTTATCTGGGACAGGTATCCACCCTCTCATCCATTCAAAATATATTCAGTGAGTATCTACTATGATCCAGGCACTGTACTAAGAACTGGGTAACCAATGGTAAGCAAAGCAAAACAGATACAGTCCTTGCCCTCATAACATCTATTATTGAGTGATGCTCCAAGGTTTATTATATTTATTTTATGGATGAGGAAATTAAGGCATGTCAAGTAAATTTCTCTCAGAGCAAGTAAATGGCTGGCTAGGAATTTTAACTCAAGTCCATTTGACTACAAAGCTTGGAGTCTTAACCACAGTTCATTACACATGCCCTGAATGCAAGAGGTGATAATCCCATTGCAGCTTGCAATGATACCACACTTGGAAAACTGTGTTCAGTTCTATGCAACACATTTTAAGAGAGGCACTGAGGTCCTCTCCATATATTCCAATGTGTTGAGCAGGAAAATGAAATATCTGGAAAATATATCAATTCTTCTCGTTGTTTAACCAGAAGAGAAGAGTTAGCTGGAAATATAATAAGCATCTTTATATAACAGAAGGATTTTTACACACAAAAAGCAGGAGATTTACGCTATGAAGCCTTGAGACAAGAGCAGGATCAAGGAGAGAAAATAATGCAGAGGGGGAAGCAAGTAGCAAGATGGACATCCCATGTTAACAAGCCAGAAGATTTAATATTGTTAGGATGGCAATAGTCTTCAAATTCATCTACAGATTCAATGCAATCCCTTTCAAAATCCCAATTGCCATTTTTGCAGATAATGACAAGCCTACACTAAAAGACATATGGAAATTCAAAAGAACCAGAATAACCAAAGTAACCTTGGTGTGGGGTAAACAGTTAAAAGACTCATATTTCCTGATTTCAAAACTTACTACACAGGTACAGTAATAAAGACACTCTGGTACTGGCATAAGGAGAGGCATATAGGTCAATGAAATGGAATAAAGAGTCAGAAATAAACCCCGACATTTATGGTTAATAATTTTTTTTTTGAGACGCACTCTCCTTCTATTGCACAGGATGGAATGCAGTGGCGCAGTCTCGGCTCACTGCAAGCTCCACCTCCTGTGTTCAAGTGATTCTCCTGCCTCAGCCTCCCAAGTAGCTGGGATTACAGGCATGCACCACCACGCCAAGCTAGTTGTTTATATAATTTTAGTAGAGATGGGGTTTCACCATATTGGCCAGGCTGATCTCGAACTCCTGACCTCGTGATCTGCCCACCTCAACATTCAATCAGGAGTAAATAGTATTTTCAACAAATGGTGCTGGGACAACTGGATATCCACACACAAACAAATGAATTTGCACTTCATGAAAAAAAAAAATGAACAAAAATGGATTGTAGACCCAACTATAATAACTAAAACTATAAATATCTTAGAAGAAATAATAGGTATATATCTTCATAAACTTAGGTGAAGCAATGGTTTCTTAGCTATGACTTTAAAAGCATGGCAATAAAAGAAAAAACAGACTTCATCAAAATTAAAAGCTTTTCTGCTTGTAAGAAAATGAAAACACAACCCACAGAATGAGAAACAACTATTTGTACATCATATATCTGATAAGGGACTTAGATCTAAAACATACATAAAGAACATTTATAACTCAATAATAAAAAGACAAACCAATTAAAAATGGGAAAAGACTTGAATAGACATTTCTCCAAAGAATATACAATCAATAACACATGAAAGGATGCTCAACATCATTAATCAAGGAAATATGAATCAAAACCACAATTAGATACCACTTCATATCCACTATGAAGGTTATAATAAAAAGGCAAACAATAGCAACTATTGGCAAGGATGTGGAGGAAGTGGAACCCTCATACACTGCTGATGGGAATGTAAAATGGTACAGCCACTTTGGAAAACAACTGGCAGGTTCTCAAAATGTTACACATAGATCATGTGGCTGCCACATGTTGACATTCCACTCCTAGGTATTTATCTAAGAAATATGAAAACATTTGTATATAAGTGTTCATATGTGTAATAGCAATATTCATAACAGCCAAAAGTGAAAGCAACCTGAATGTTCATCATCAATGAATGGATTTTTTCAAATGCGGTATATGCATACAATATATTAGTCCCCAGTGAAAAGAAATGAGGTACTGATGCATGCTAAAGATGAATAAACCTTGAAAACAACATATTAAATGAGTGAAGATAGTCACAAAAGACCATCTAGCATCTTATCCCACTTATATGAAATGTCCATAACAGAAAAATTGATAGAGACAGAAAGTAGACTAGTTGTTTCTTTGAGATTGTGAGGGAAGATTGGAAATAACTACTAATGGGTATGGGGTTAAATGCAAATGATATTTTGGGGAGATAAAAATGTTCTAAAGTCACTTGTGGTGATAGTTGTACAACTCTGAATATACACTAAAAGCCATTGGACTGTACACTTTAGTAGATTTTATGATATGTGAACTGTATCTTAACAAAGATATTAAGTGAAGGAAGAGGAGAAGGAAAGAGAGAAGTAGGGAAAGCCAGTTAGCAGCCTAAAGGTGCCATCAGAGAGTTGAAGTGGATCACAGAGCGTTATTTAGGGAAATGGAAAGAACTGATCCCTCATATCTTTTCAAATCTCCAATGTAGCCATTCCAGGTATTTGTATGGCCAGGCTTTGGGGCAAAAACATTGATGGTCAGAATAATATAGAGATAGTGAGCATTTTTCGCTGATTAAATACAGAAGTAAATTCTCCTTTAGACTTATTACGCTTTAGGCTACAGGCTAAGCATATCAGGTTGCAGTTATATGTTAGTTTGGTCAGGAAATGTTTGTCTTCTTTGACACAAGTAACTGACCTGTAAAATGGTGATTATTGTATCAAACATGAAAGCAATGATTCGAATCTATATTTTTAGTGGATGAAAGTGAGATAGAATTATTGAGGATCATTTGTTTTTCAGGACTCCATTTTGTAGAGCAATAGTTGACAAACAATGCTCCATAGAGGCCAAATTCAACCTGGTGGCTGTGTTTGTAAATGAAGTTTTATTGGAACAAGTAATGCACATTCATTTATGTACTATCTATATCTGCTCTTGTGTGCAGAGTTGAAGAGTTGTGACAGAGACATACACAGCACAGAAAGTCTAAAATATTAACTATCCGGCCCTTTACAGAAAATGTTTGCTAACCCCTCTCTCTAGAAAAATATGACTGATTCAGCTTTTTAACAAATAAAAATTTATGCATCCAAATGAAAACTCTTCTCTTCAAAGCATTCACCTCATTAAATAGTTTATATTTATTTCAGTGATGCTGCCATTGCTCAAGGCTTGTCTGAAATTCCCTTTGTGGACTACTGTCTTTAAGGTCTTAAATACATGCTTTTTCATATCCTACCAATAGAAAACCTTGGCACTTACGCGTAGGTAGGTAGTTATTTGGAATCAACATGATAAATCAAGATAGGTAAAACTATCATTGGTTTAAAATCAGGAATGTATCTGAAGCAATTCAGCTGGCTTTCCCATGAAGCATGCAAATTGTTTTTGAAAGCAATTTCAAATGAGTTCCAAAAATGATTTTGAGTAGAGATAGCATCTTTGGAATAATTACTGAACCTCCTACTGTCATTATTTTGAAAAAGAAAGTTCATTTGGATATATAAATTCTGGAATATTGGTTACATCTGTCTCTTTACTTCCCAGTCACATCTCATATTGGAGACTTAGAACATATTTGTTATCAACGGGTGGGAAAACGTGTCTGATATGCCCATGAATATTCTGTGCCAAGAAAACAGATTTACAAAGACATTAACTCTCCATGGCTCGATTACCCATGATGGGTTCCCTAATAGCTGGAGGGCCTGTACATCTCCTTCTCTGACTAGGTCCAGAAATTCATTCTTCTATAAAAGTGAAAAATTCCAGCCCAGTGGGTCTAACAGGGAATATTCCTCTTTGCATGACTGCACATAAAAATAGGAAGCTTTTGTATTTCAGATGCATTCCACGTCTTTGGTCTAAGATATGGCATAATGGGTTACTCCATTAATTTTAAAAGTTGGAAGTCATTTTTAATGTATATCAAAACATTATGCTATATACCTTAAATATGTACAATGTCAATTAAAAATTTTTAAATTGGGAATCATTTTTTAAATGATATATAAAAGCAAACACTTTTTCTCAGTGTCTACACTGTAATACTCACATAAACCAATGCAAAATGCATCACCTAGATTTTCTAGTTTTGCTTTATTCTTTAAAGCATAGTGATATGGTTAGAATATGTCCCCCATAGTTCATGTGTTGGGAACTTAACCCCCGAAGCAACAGTGTAAAGAGATGGGGCTTTTAAGAGATGGTTAGATTTTTGAGGGCACTGTCCTCATGAATGGATTAAGAATATTATCACGAGAGTGGGTTAATTATAAAAGGAGGCAGTTTGGCCCAATTTCCTCTGTCTTGTGCACTTGCTTCCACTTTCCACCCTTCTATCCTTATACCATGGAATGACCCTTGCCAGATACCAGTGCCACGCTCTTGGACTTCCCAGCCTCCAGAAGTGTAAGAAATAAATTTTTGTTGTGGTATTCTATTATAGCAGCAGAAAACAAGATAACACATGTAGTAAGAAATTAAAAACACTTAAAAATTTAAATGTGGGGTGAGAAATTTATAACCTAACAAATTCATTCTAGATTTTTATGATTCTGTTTTCAAATATTTTACTATTTTCTTTCATATCTCTAATTTGATAGCAATTATCATGAAATGAATTACCTTTACTGAATCTTTCCTTAGCATTTGATTTACTTTTCACAGAAAAATAACTCTTGTGTTACAATTATAGTTCATCAGCTATGTATTATTTCATTATATTACAAAATTACAATAACAACTGCAACTGATATAAATAGGTTTGGGAATACATACAGTTAACTCTTAGTAAGCAAAATTCAACTCAGGAGACAAGTGTGCAAACATAACAGAGAGTATCTCCTTCTAGCTGCAAGTATTATGAGTTCTATGGGCATCAGTCAGTATGTTTTACAGAAAAAAAAAAATAGAAAGTATCAGTTAATCTCAGTTAATCTGTTAAGTCGGTTAAATGGAACCTGGTTAAGTGCACATCTACTACATAGTAAGTGTATATATGGTATAAAACTTCATGATGAGACCAAAATGCATTGGCAGTTGATGATTTTAAATTCCAAGAGAACCTTGTACACAGGCTGATTCTATTCTTGAGTAGCCATCTATGAACCCAAACCCACTTAAGACAGTTCTACGTGGCTAATCTCTTATTCATAAGCTAGTGTTTGCCATTGGTATACTAGGAAATGAAATCAGAAAACACCAAGAAAATTAGGACCTTCAACACAGACTTTTTTACAAAATTGGAATTTGTTTCAAAAAAAGCATGTTGTCCAATCCAGTGGGCCAAATGTGGTACTGACGGGGAGCAGGGCTGGAGGCTCTGGGAATTTCATGCAAATGGAGAGACCATTTAAGAGCCAATCAAGAGACCCTACATCCTTGACCACCTGCATACTTTTTCCTCTAGATTTATGGAACATTTTATTGCGTGCTATTCTTGGTAATGAGGAGACAAAAGAGAATGTATCAAAGGGGATATCAATGGAGATTAACTTTTATCAGTATTTTGTAGGTTAAGCCGACCTTACTTAGCTTTTAGACAATGCATTTGTGGCTTTGTCCTGTCATTAAGCACACTGACATTTCTGATGTCTGATCTTCCGGAACGTCATTTCACTACTGAGAAGAAATAATGAAGTACAAAGCTTCCTTTCTCAGAAATGTCTGACCTGCTAAACTGTCTGCAATTTACGGAATACTGAGTGATAAAGTTTCTGGAGAACAAAGAACCACTCCCTGTCTGTGGTTTTCTGCCCTCATTCGTTGAAAGTACAATTGTCTTTCTTCAGAATCATTATTATAAAGGTAAACTGTTTTCAAAACCTTAATGACAGCTTACTGAATTTCTATAAATAATCACATCTTGTTCTCTGATGTTAATAGTTTAGTATTTTATCCTTATATAACACAAGCATGACTTCATTTAAAAAAAATCCTAAAATATCTATTCAGCATGTGTAGTATACCTGATTTAACAGCCTTTTAAAGAAAGAATATAATAGTGCACTGGAGTGAAGGAGTTTAAGATTAAGTAGAAAGTAAAATCAAAAGGGATTATGGAAGGGAGTATTTGTGCCTGTACTGACAAATATATGCACGAAAGGATGTTCCAAGAACACTAACATCTCAGAATTCCCGAAATAGAGCTTGACTTCTGACCACCATGCATGCATACTGTTCCCTCTACACCAATGACCTTGTCTTCTCTACCTGGCAAATCACATTTGTCTCTAGATTTAACTCAGTTGTCACCTTAGTGAAGCTCTCCCTCTTCCCCATATGGTTGGTCACCTCCTACTCTTTGTTCCCATAGATCACTGCACTTATCTCTATTACATTTACCACATTGTATTGTCATTGTTTCTGGCTCTGTCGTTTCTACTATATTTTAGTGTCATGAAAGCAAGGACAAGGTCTAAGTTTTATCTGCTCCAGGGTCTGGCAGCAAGCCTGATATATAATGGTCAATGGAAAACCATATTATAAAATGGATGAAATAGAAAAAGAAAAATGAAAATGTTTGGTAATAGGGGACAAAGTGAAGTTAAGATATTATTCAAGTGAAGTGGAAGAACATTGTACACTCACTTTCTTTGGTAAAAGGTATTATACACATAGATCTCTAAAAGCATGGGGGAGGGTAAGCATCCAGGGGTGAAACTTGCAAAGCAAGTGGGAAGGAGGGCATTCTAGACAGAGGAAATAGGCAAGCACATAATATATTGAATAGTTGGAACGCAAAGGAAAGATGGGATTTGTAGGAAACTTTACAAGCAGTTTGTCATTGCAGCAGAATAGGGGTTCAAAATGAGCCTAGACACTTAAAATGGTTGCAATTTTCATTATATGTCAACGGTAACTCAATACAACTGACTTTAAAATGCAAGATCATGGACTATTTTTAATGCTGTCTTGTTTATTGTTCGAAGAACGTCCTCTAAGTTGGCATTTATTTCTTCATATTTCTGGTAGACTGTTTCTCCATGATTATACTGCAGGGGTTCCTGAAGGAAAATACTGTATTATTCATCTTCGCATCTCGTATGGCATCTAATGCAACACATAGCACACTGCAGGCACTCTATACTACTACTTTTGGTAGTGGGCTTAAGGCGCCCAGGAAAAGGAAGTGTGTGTGTGCATGCATGGATGCATGTCAGTGTGAAGACAAAAAATAGTATATACAAAATTCAACAACCAATCTCTAATACCCATGATCATTTCAGTTCATTCAAAAAAAATAGAGGAAGAGCTTGGAGAATTCAGAGCTTCACAGTTTGTAAGACATCTCATAGACTAAACACGTAAGTAATGAATAATTAGCATATCTTTATAGATGAATAAAATGATTTTCTCATTTCAGTAATATATTTTATGTCTAAACCTTTTAAGATGTGAGTCTTTCATTGCCCAAGAGGTTAAATACTACCTTAGAAAAATTTAATGTCAAAAATCTGTAAATTTTGCCCAATCTCTCCTTGCCCAGCCTCTTCAACAAGTTGGTGCCATAGGGAAAAATGTAGGAATTGTACCAGATGAAAGAAATTTCGGGGACATCATCACTAGATGATGATAGGGTAGTCTGGGATAGAATCCTGACTGGTCAAACAAGCTCTAAAGGATATTTGGGGGACAAATGTTAAATTTTAAATATGGACCAGGTAATAAGTAAGATGTAAATTTATTGACATGGTGGTGATATTATAAAGTTGGTGATTATTACCTTAAAAGTAGACTACAAAACAGCATGTTGAGTATCATTTTACTTTGGTTTATAAAACATATGTATATAGAAATGAATATGAAAAATGTACAATAGGCTACTAACAATGGTTATGTTTGTGTGGCTGGAAGATGGTGTTTTCATCTTCTTGAATTTTAAGCGTTTTTTCTAATTTGCTACAATGTATACCTATTACTATTGGCAAAATTAAAAGGTTATTTTTTATTTAAAAAAATTAGAGAACTACAAAACTTATTCTTTCTTTTACATATATAGTTCTGCTTTAAAATATTGGAGATTACAGTGTCCAGTTTCTTTTAAACTCTTCTTTCTCATAAATAAAAAGAGGATATTTAGCACTGTTTATCTGCAGTCACAAGGTATGATAGATTTGCTGAAATTACTTAAGAGCATTTTCACTGAGGAAAATTTTATGTTGCTGTAGTTTATTCTTATTTCCTGTTGTTTTTGTTTTGGTTTCTGAGCATGATTTTTCACACAAGATGTTGTATCAGACAAGGTACCATATGTCGCCAAACCTCAGCAGGAGCAACTCAGAGTCTGTAAAACCAATTCAATGATGCTTTTCCATAAACTGACTTCCCTATGATCATTAAAATATGCACATATTTTAAGAAACCAATAATCAGGCAAACCTAATTAAGAAAGAGATAATTATGACTAACAAAAAAGCTGGCAAATCACATTCAGAGATGTATATTTGAATGTTTGCCATGATTTTCATGTACAATTAATATAATAACTACATCATATGCTTTAATTCCTACATAATTAAGACACACTACATCAAGCTTTTAGAAGGAAAATCAACATTTTGGGCACTTTGCTTTTATTGCATATAGAAAAAGAATTTCCCTTCCATTCCAGATATTTATGCCTTTAGAAAAAAAAGCACCTTACCAATGCTGGCTCTTTTTACATGACATCAACATATATGGATAAAAAAGTGAAATAAAACAATTGTCTACTTATTTTGTCTTCCTAACACAACATTCATTTTAAAGCACCAAAAAAAGTATGTCATGACTTCCAGTTAAAAATGGCTATACAAAGGAATTCCTCCCCTCCTTCAAAACCAATAAAAAATAAACCAAAAAATTAAAGATAGAAGAAACTTACACAGTGACAACCACAAAATGCAAACTGTGAAGCACACCTAAACAATGCAAGGTGCTCCTCCTCCAACATCAGAGGAAATAGCTGTTCCTAAAAGCTCAACACAGATTAGGCCTCCAGGGGGAGGCCCACTCAATGATTAGGGAGACGAAGAGGTGTATATCTGGGGACAAGAGGACTAGGTGATAATCACAGGGACTGTGATCATTTGGTAGCAATAAAAAGACACAGAAAAAGTCACAGAATATCATGGGAGAGATAGATAAAACTTAAACCTTTTTTTACATCCTCATTTGTATTACCTCTAACCTAACCTTTGAGAGGTGAGTCTGACAGAGGAAAAGCAGCAAGACCATGAGATTACAAAGTCAGCCTTTGACATTGGCAACTTTGCTGTGCATGACATCAACTGTTAAAGGCTAAATGCTAAGGCAACACAAACCCACAGGGCAAAGAAAATGCAACGATTTGGTTGCCTTGAACTAAAGTCAAAACTGAAACTTCAGATTGCCCAAGTTCACATTCCCTTGGCCCCATGAGCAAAAGATGAAGAACATAGCAAAAAGAAAAACACAATGAAACAGGAAAAAATTTCAGGCAAATAGTTCTCCATGACCACAGATAAATTTTAGCTAGAAGAGCTCATAAAAGGAGAAATAAGTCTCAAAAAAAAAAAAAGATAAAAATAATGTGGCAAAGTTCAAATAAAAAATAAAATAGAAAAATGAAAATATTACTGAAATGAAAAACATATTAGAAGGAGAAATAAATGAAATGAATACAACTGAACTCAAAATCAAAAACAAGGTAGACAGGATACAGTCATCAATATGGGAGGTTAAGGAAAAAAAGACAACAAACATAGATAATCGGTATTTTAGAAGAAAAAGAATTAATGTCGATAAACATTCAAATATATAAAAGGCTTCATTGGCAGTCAGGAAGGAACAAATTAAAACTTAAATGAAATACTAGATTACACCCATCATACTGGCAAAAAATTTTAAGTAGTACGATAGTCTACTTAATATATATAGTCGTTGTTGGTAAGGACATAGAACAATAAGGAGCTTCAGCCACAGCTAGTGAGAATGTAATCTGGAATATCCACTCCGGAACATGTGGCATTATCTAGTAAAGCTGAAGATGGACACATTGCTATGACCCTGCAATGCCACTTCAAGGTATACATGCTTAGATGCACAAGTATGCACATAGGAAAATCTTATGATAGCTTTGTTCGCAATTGCCAAAACTACACATTTTGTGGAATATTCATCCAATGGGATACTATATAGCAGAGGTCAGCAAATTTTTGCCATAAAGAGCCAGACAGTAAATAAGTATTTTAGGCTTTGAAAGTCTGTGATCTCTGTTGCAAATATTCAACTCTGCCACTGTAGTGCAAATGTAGCAACAGTGAATAAATAAATCAATGCACATGGCTGTGTTCCAATTACACTTTATTTATGGACAATGAAGTTTAAATGTCATAATTTTCTTGTCATAAAATATTATTTTTCTTTAGATCTTTTCCAACCACTTAAAAATGTAAAAACCATTCTCAGCTTACAAGTCATGTAAAAACAGGCAACAGGCTAAATGTGGCCTACTGGCCATAATTTACCGACCCAAGCTATAAAGCAATACAAAAATATACAAAGCACAACTATCTGCTCAAGATTAATGTACCTTCAAACACAAGATTGGGTTATTTTAAAAAGTGATGAAGTTCAAAGAGAATATAGTCTAAAGAAGAAAAACCATGATATCAACTGACATAGAAAAAGCATTTAACAAAATCCACATCCAGTTTGATTTAAAAAAAAAAAAAAAAACTATCAGCAAACTAGGAATAGAAGGGAACTTCCTCAACTTGATTTTTTAAAAATCTACAGTTAACATCACATTTAACAGTGAAAAACTGGATGCCTTCCCCCTAACATTCAGAACAAGACAAAAATGTCCTCTCCCACCATTCCTTTTCAATCCCGTATTTAAAGTCTTACTAGTACAAGAAGACTAAAAAAGCAAATAAATAGTATGAAACTGGAAAGCAAGAAATAACACTATCTTTACTGGCAGATGCTGTGACTACCTATGTAGAAAATCTCAAAGAAATGACAAAAAACAAGCCGCCAACAACAAGAAAACCTTTTGGAACTGAAACTAGTAAGCAAGTATAGGTCAGAGGATACAAGGTTAACACACAAGTCTATTGCCTTCCTATATACCAGCAACAAACAACTGGAATTTGAAATGTAAGAAAAAGTATCATTTATGATAGCACCAAAGAAGCCATAAAATACTTAGGTATAAACCCAATAAAATTGGTCTATATGTGCTAAACTACAAAACTCTGATGAAAGAAATCAAAGATGACCTAAATAAACAGAGATGAGACATTCTGTGTTCATGGATTGGAAGACTCAATACTGTTAAAGTATCAATTCTTCCCAACTTGATCTGTAGGTTCAATGGAATTCCAACCAAAATCCCAGCAAACTGTTTTATAGATATCAACAAACTGATTCTAAAGTTTAAGTAGGAAGATGAAAGATCCAGAATAGCCAACACAATACAGAAGAACAAATTTGGAGAAATCACACAACCCAATTTCTGTAATTACTTCAAACTACAGTAATCAAGACAGTGTGGAATTAGTGAAAGAACAAACACATATGTCAGTGAAATAGGACACAGAGCTCAGAAACAGACCCACACAAATACAGTCCATTGATCTTTAACAAAGAAGTAAAGTCAATTCAATAAAGTCCTTTCAACAAATGGTACTGGGATAATTGGATGCCCATCTGTACCGCTCCCCCCTCCAAAAAAAACACACAATTATTGTAGATACTGACCTTATATCTTTTACAAAAATTAACTCAAGAAATTAATGAGATACCTAAACGTACACTGCAAAATCACTCACTAGATTATTAGCATCCTGGCAAAGTCTTTCAAATACGTGACCACTGATCTTCATCTACAGTGTCCAAGTGGTGGGGTAATCAATGGAAAATCCTGATAACTCAAAGTAGACATTTTTTATGCAGCACTTACTGTGCACAGGTATCAATCTAAATGCTTTACACACATTGACTATTGACTCTCTTCATACTCACTTAATATCCCTATGAGGTAGGAATTATTACCATCCTCTTCTTACAAATGAGAGAAATGAGGCCCAAAGAGGTTATATAACTTGTCCAATGTCATACAGTAGCAAGTGGATAAGCTAGGATTCAAACCTTGTCTGGCCCCAGATCTCATACTCTTAACATATTATATATACTAATGTCATCTTTTTCCTTAGAAGGCTGTACTTATCCGTGTAGTCTTGTCTCAGTAAAATGTTCAAGATCACCACCTACTATCAGCCAAACCTGGTCCCCAATGTCTCTCCAGCCTCACTGAACACGTCTGCTGCCATATCTTGGCCCTCTACTCACCTGTCATATCGTGCTGTTGACTGTATACCTTCCTTCCCCAAATTACAATTCACTATACAGGGTTATCCTATCAAAACTGTGCCACCTATAATCATGTCATATTTATGAGAGGCGGGTATTTTTGGTTGTTCTATTTTCAGTTATTAGACTTTGCTCCTTCTATGCCTGAGTTGAGGCAAGGGAGAAAAGAAAATCACTTAAACAGCAAATTTTTATACTTGAAATAAATATTCTTTAATATCCAGTCATTAAAAGTTCATTAGTCTCTGTTCGAGGGGTTCCTAGAGTGCATAATAATAAAAATTTTAAGAGGCAGTTCAATCTCTGTTTGGCCTAGATCCTAGAGCCCGGGGATTCAAGCAAAAGTCATTTATCTCCCCTTTTCCCCTAACCTCCTAGAAAGATGCAGAACAACCTCTTAGAACAACTGTTTTTGTTTGAAACATAGGTAATTTTATCTTTGACTTGGTAAAGAACCTGCTCCAAGTTACACACAAATCTGAACTCTTCGTAAAACAAGATTGTGGATCACAATAGCTGCAGTACCACCTTGCCACCCAAACCATTCTGAACCTGTATTTATAAGGTGTGAGATAATACAGATTAATTTGAGGTATTGACCTAACACTCTAATAGCAGGCAAAAGGGGTCCAAGGACTAAGTGAGCTTGAAATTGTAAAATTCTGGACACACTGAAAGCTTGTTTAAGTGCATATTTCTTCTTTTATAAATAATAGTGACCAAGGTGATCCATTTGAAAGCTGTCAGAGCTGACACAAAAGTATGGAGCCCTAACCAAGACTAGAGTCAGTTGAGAGCTCTTCACTTCTCGTTTCTTTGATTCTGGGATATTATATCTCCTCTACACATAGTTAATAATAATTACCTTGCATATGAGCTTTATTCACTTCTAAGTTGCTGAGATTTCAGTGCAAAAATAGGGAGCCAAGAGATAAATGAGATGGCTATCTAATTGTCAAACAAATATAAATTAGGCAGACTATTATTTCCTCTTTGGAGGGAGTAAGGGACCTAACACTTATCAACAGCCACTATTAACTGCTACCTACACTTTATAAATAAGGTGAGGCTTTGAGAAGTGACATATGTTGTCCCCAGTGACATGAAGCTTAGGAAGAAACTGGAAGCAAGATCTGTACAGGGTGTGCGTGGCTCCAAAGCTCATGTCTCTCTCACTATACCAGGTGATTTCTGATAGGATTTTTGTGAAAATTCTGCCTGCACACTGAGGGCACTAAGAAATGTGTCACCAGTGCGGGTACACACAAAGGAAGGTTTTTCTTGACATATACCAATGAGGATTGTATTTAAGACTTTCTACTTTTGAAATACACACAAATATATAATCAAGATACATAAATTTTAGATAAAGCTCTTTCATAGTTTTCCTCCCAAATATGTATTTATGTTTTCTCTTTCAGTGTGGAAAGCACAGGAAGTGATGCATTCTCCCTGTCAACTACAAAGCCAAAGGGTCCTCTCTCCCATTATGAATACTCTGAACACTGCCATTCGACAACAGTAATTTTGGAATGGGTTCATGGGCTTCAATCAGTTGGCCATTCCATAAACATTTACCAAGAGCCCTACTTATGCCAAGCCAAGCATTGGGATATGTAGACAAAAGATGGCTTCTACTCTCAAAAAATCTGAATTAGAATTGGGAAGATACACAGTAAACAAACTATTATACTGGGATAAATACTATGGAATGCCACAAAAACTCAAAGATGAGGACTTTACCACACAATGAAAATGACGGAATACCAGCAGAGGCTTCCAGTGCAGAATTTGGCCAAGCATAGCTGGCAAGTACTCAGAAGCAAGCAGCCAGTTATGACCAGACCAACTTGGGGTGTGAGTGTGTTAGAGGATATGGGAGTAATTTGGATATAAGGTCTATGAGCTGAGCTGAGTCCAGATATTACAGGCCCTCCTGTGTAATGTACAAAAAGACAATGAGTTTTATGCAGAGGCACAGAGATGGCACTGCTGGCTTGTTACCAGAGAATTAGCATGAACTGGGAGGTTTTAGGAAGGTTGCTCTAAAACAGAGAACCGTTTGGAATATGGGAGATATTAGAGATGAGGAGAACATCAAGGTAGATGCCCTAATACTGGAAGTCCCAAGTGAAAAATTATGTGGGTCTAGGCTAATTGTGTGCGTCTGAGTAACAGGGGATAGGGGACACATAGAAGGAGTATTTTGGAAAATAAGTTGCCCAAATTTGTTGACATTCTAGGATGATGGATAAGGAAGAGTCTGGGATAGCATGCAGTATTCCAACCAGGGAAATTGTGATGCCTTCTCCCAAAGAACAGAGTTTGGTAAAAAGGAAAAGGAATATCTTTAGTTTTAGTTATTTTTCCTTAATTAAAAAAAAACTCTGATTGCTTTATTTCTAACATTCCTAGTAGTATAGCACTACTAAATAAGATTCCATTAGTTACAATGATAGTGATAACACCCACAGGATGTTTTAAAAATAATAGCAAGCAAATGGCTTTGCCCATACTCCCCAGAATAAAAAAATGCAGGAGGAAATGCACATAACCAAGAATAAGAAATAAAGAAATAAATATATGAATAGGAGAATATATTTCTGCAAGTGCAAATACAAGAAAGGACCAAAATGAGCATGACTCATACTTCAGTGGATCTACCTTCTTCAGCCAAAAATCATATTCAGTTTCCTACAGGAAGTTTGCACTGTAAGTCCATGCTGCCTCCCACTCTTTTCCCCAAAGGGAACATTCAGATTTACCCTCCTATGAACACTGACAAAAACAAACCCTAACTAGAATTTAGAGTTTATCTAAATTTGGAAGAACCAAGGAAGAACAGTGATCTCTAACTCAAATGCTCTTGACAATGGTCAGATAACATAAGTTGGTAAAGCAGCCTGGATGCAATGTAATAGGGAGTGGTGAAGACTACAGCAAATGAAAACATGCTTGTCCCCTATGTCAGTGGTTTTAAAACATAGTTGCAACTCCTTGTCACTTAGCTCATCAAGAAGAGGTTTCTGTGACCACTCTGCTTGCATCTTGATCGGCTTATGACTACTTCAACCAATACAGTACAAGACAGTAGCACAGTATGACTTCTAAGACTAGGTCACAAAATGCCAGGTGGCTTTTGCCTTGTTCTGCTAGGACACTTGCCCTTGGATCACCGAGCCACACTGTAGGAGCCCTGACTATCCTGAGGCACCATGTTGCAGAAGACACATGAAAAGAACACATGGAAATTCTGGAATCTGCACCGAAATTCGGGGGATGCTCAAGGAACTCCAAGCCATCCCAGCCCAGGCATATGATACGTGAGTAAAGTTACCTCCAGATGGTCCCAGCCTTCAGAATGTAAGTCTCCTCAGCAGAAGCCCCAGACATTGTGGAGTAGAAACAAACCATCCCTACTATGCCTTGTCCAAATTCCTGAGCCACCTAATCTATGAACATAATGAAAGGCTGATGTTTCACAACACTAAGTGTTGAGGTGGTTTGTCACATGGCAATAGAAAACCAGAACACCTCCACTAAAGAGGCAGCCACTGTACTGTTTCCACTGACTGCAGTCATGTGGCAATGTGCAGTCAGTGTTAGGTGACCTTCCAGTTTACCAAGAGAAAACAGACACTTAGATTTGTATATGAATTTTCCAATTGTCAAAACACCATTTGGGACAAATAAAACATGACTGTGACGGTATTTGGCCCTTGGACCACAGCTGCAACTCCTCATGTAGTACATAGATTACATGGAGGCAGATATGTGCCTTCACAGACAGCTACTTCCAACGAGCATACAGTCAGTGGTTCAGACCACCTAGCCATTACTACTCTGCACCACACAGGCTTTTGTTGTTGTTTTTCTTTAGATAATGTCAGGCAAGAATCATCTCTAGTGAGGACTGAGATATCTCCAAAAACATTCCAGGATGTGCTCTAGTTCTGTATCTCTAATGGGTTTTAAGGTCCATTTGCTAACACCTTAAAGTCATGACGATGGCAACAGACATCAAGGGCCAGTAAGTTTGGAAGTCATACATATAAGCTCAAGTGGCATGCCTGGAATCTATGACCTATAAAGCAGGAATTCCACTGTTGAATAAAAAGTGAACCTCATACATAACAATAACTCAACAAAATATAAATATATAAATAAATGAATGAAGAAATAACCATCTCAACAAATGATTGATCTTACCTTCCCTTACACTGTATTTTGGCACCTCCACAAAGTCAAAATCGCAACCTAACTTAGGTCCCCTTCAGTCTTAAACTAATGGAAATTTTTAACTCTGTAAAACAGAAATTACAAATTCTCAGAAGTTCCTACTACCAATGCAGACCTATCCATACAACTAGCTCATTATAGTCCACTATAGATTAAAACCTTTGCCCCAAAGTATTAAACAATCAACAAAAAAGGCCATTCTCTGTCAATAATTCAGCAGAAGTTTTGCATACAAGTCAACATTTAGTGCTAAAAGAAAAAGGAGAAAAAAAAAAAAAAAGGAACAGACTTCTATTTGCATGTCTGCAATTTTCCCCAAATATCATCCAGGCCTAAATTAATCTTCTTGTAAGTGACTAGGGTTCTATTTGTTTGTCTGTTTGTTTTAATTTTCTTTATAAGGAGCACAGAAAAGAAGTCACATGAGACTCGGGAAGAGTGTTTACTTTCAAATAGGTCGCGTTCAACAAATTAGCATTCTATTTACTTTCTGTGAAATCACTGTACCATAGCCATCTGTACTAGTGAGCTATGATACAAATTATCATATCGAGACTGAATATTAAAAAAGACTTGGATACGTACTCAGGCAGCAAATTCAAATCTACCACCAGGCCTTCAGAGCAGGGTGGCTCACAATGGCCAGATTTGACACCATGACCAAAAGATTTCTTCCTTTCCTTTTGGGCTGCTTGAGTTAGACCAGACCCTGGGCCAGTATACATGAAGATATCCTTGAGAAAGATGAAGATTGTCTGCTTCCCCTTAGCTGGATTATAAATGAAGAGTTTTTGAGGTCTGCTGTGGGGTACCAAGGAAATTTTGTTTTATATGGTATTTATAAATGAATGCTAAAGACCATGATATGTTAAGAATTTACAAGAAGATGAGATGAAACATCCTGAGACAAATCCCAGGCTGCCAGCTCTTCTAATAATGTTCCTTTTGCTGTGCCTGCCCTTTATCATATGTGTTGGGTGAGCCTAGAGGAGGAAAAGGAAGGGAAAGCTTGAAAAACATTAGCCTGAAGCCTATAAAATCACTGTGAAAGCTTCTCTCTCTGAATCAACCTGGGTTTAAGACATTTCTTGACCCTATGGCAGGCAAGTGGTTCACCATGTGCCCAATAAATTATCCCAAGATCCTGCTCACCAAACCAGGCACTTCTTGATTTACATCAACACAGGATTCCAGGAGATGAGACTACAGGGAATAAAATATGTGTTGTAACCTATACCACTACTTCAAAATACTCTGCTGCAGTGGAACTATATCTTCAGTGAGTTACCAAAGTCAATGTCGGTTGATGTGTATATCTGGATGTGTGTGCAATGGGGTAATAGTGGGAGATTGTGCTTCATTGTATGGATAAAACTTCATTGTATGGATAAAATTAGAAATTTAGTTTAGTTTCTTCTGGGCTAATGAAATTTGGTATCCTGAATACTGTAAAAACCAGTCCTTAAGAAACAATATAACATATTCTTATAAGAACTCAGAATTGAAAGCAGACATGTGACCTCATTGTATGGATAAAATTAGAAATTTAGTTTAGTTTCTTCTGGGCTAATGAAATTTGGTATCTTGAATACTGTAAAAATCAATCCTTAAGAAACAATATAACATATTTTTATAAGAACTCAGAATTGAAAGCAGACATGTGACTAAGAAACCTAAACTTGAACTCACCGTTTTTGAATGGCAATCTACTGATGTCACAATTAAAGTCACCTTTATCTAATTAAGCCAATAAAACATGAATTATGTCCAAAGAGTTCCAGAGTGAATAATGGAGGAAAAGGCTGAGTTGGTGGATTCAAATATAAATATTATGTTTCTTAGTAAAAGTTTATTGTTTCTTATAGTGATCATTCAATATTATCAGCACCTCAGCAGCTATAAGTAGAAAACAGCAAAAGCTTGGTTTCCTTTAAAGAATTTATATTTTGTTTCCTTTACAGTCCCATAAGGCATGATGAAATAAAGAACAGATGGTGGACATGAAGGAGGAGAAACTGAAGGTGAAAGTTTTCAAAGATACACCAATTTACGTATCTGTCTCTGAAAAACAAAAGCCCTATGCCTGTAAATTAACTTGACTGTATGTTTTTCACAACACACCTATAATTGCAGCTGAAATCAGGTGAAAAGGAGAATCAAAAAATAATGTTATGTGGGACCATCCATTTACTGGACTAGAAATATGCCTGATGTGTCCAAAATGTTTGCTTCTTTTGGTGTCACTGGGTAACACTAGAGGTTTTCAAGTCAGCTTTGTAAAGTCAGCTTTGTTCAATTAAGAGCTTAAGCAGAAATGGGAACAAACAAACCAGTCAAATGTAGAGTATGCTCCAGTTGAAGCTGGAGCTGTGCTAGGGATAAATGGGGTGGCAGAGCCTGCCTACTCTTCCCTATGCACTCCTAACAGCCCCAGGGAGGCTCCACAGACCTTCCAGGGCTCAAAGGAGCACAGTTTGAAAACAATCTGAGATTTAGATAGAACATAACAAGCTAAAATGAGGTCAAAATACTAAAGTGGAAAAACATCAAAGTAAGTGAAATGTAAAAGCTAAATTAATTTTACTGCACTAGACAAGCCAAAGGGTCCACAAGGTTGCAAGATTATTTGTCTACCTTTATTGTTTAAACAGAATTAGTTTATTGATTTTCACTTAGCAGAATATTTAGAATATTTCTGCCTCCCAGGCAACTAGGTCCTATTTTCCCCAAAAAAACAGTACACCTTCATCATTGACTCAGAAGATATTAGTCAGAAGATAGATTTTCTTAACTGATGACTCCTTCATTGCAAAAACTCTCCAGTAATTCAGCATAACCTTTACAAGAAAAATAAAATAAGTGAAAAGGGATTAAATCACGGTACAAACCTGGGTATATAAAGCCCTCAAGCACTGATCATTGTAAAACCTCTTTGTTCAGGAACCCTTAATGCTGTGGTTTGAATGTGTTCCCCAAAGTTTACATATTAGAAACGTAATCCTCAATGCAGCAGTGTTGGGAGATGAGGCCTAATAAGAGATGATTAGGTCATGAGGGTTCTGCCTTCATGAATGGATTAATATTGTTATCATGGGAGTGGGTTAGTTATCAAGATAGTGGGCCTGTTATAAAAGCAAGTTTGGCCCCCTCTTGCTTGCTTGCTGTCTTGTGCCCTCTTGCCCTCTTGCCTCCCACCATGGGATGATGCAGCACAAAGGCCCTGGATAGATGTCATGCTCATGGACTTACCAGCCTCCAGAATCATGAGCCAAATAAACGTCTGTTCATTATTAATTATCCAGTCTGTGGTATTCTGGAATAGCAACACAAAATGAACTAACACATTGAAAAGAAATTTTAAAATAAAAACAAACTATTCAACTTGGAGTTCAATTTAAAATCCCAACAAGATTTTTTTAATGCTAATAGCCTTCCTTGTCCACTTAATCACAAGGTTTAAAGAATGATGAACATTTTATATTCCTATGTGTGTGAGAAACTAATGTTGCTATTAGAAAACATTCTTGGATTGTATTTCATTCCCTAGGTAATCTGGCCTTGACTCACTTTCCAAAATTATCTGCCACCACCTAACAAATACCTAAGCATAGACCTACTCATCTCCTCACTGTTCCTTTAACATAATTTTCTCATTTCCACCTCTACACTTTCTCTCTCAGACTTCCTCACCCCTCCTGCCAGCCTATCTAAATTCAACCATTCCTTAACAATCAACCTCACAACCAACCTTTGAGAAGCCATCCCTGACAACGGCAGCCAATGACCCATCTCCCAGGCTCACAGCACCAATTGCTAATTCTTTCCATTTTCTTGCTTAACCATACATCTTTATTGTTACTTACCTCCTTCCATGGACATGTCAGACCATGAACACCTCACATAATACCTACTACCATGCTGTACCCACATGGAATACACAATAAATATTTGTTGAATAAATGAGTATGTGTTTATTCTCAATCTCTCATCCACACATGGAACAGTGCAGAGATTTATACAAAGCAAATGAAATACGAACATAATTTGGTTTCCTACTACTACTCACATCCATGAGTCTTATCAGTTCATGCTTCCCCTTACTGCCATTTATGTTTCTTTTACCATGTTGTTTATCTCAGGACACACTCTGACTAGCCTTTAATTTGTTGTAATAAATCTCTATTATCCCTGACATTATTTAGCATGCATGGCTTCCTAATTAGTCAAGGCAATGATTTATAATGAAATTGCCATAGATTTTGCCCTTCCCTTCAGTTAATGCTACCTTCTCCATTTCTCTGAAGAGCCTTACTCCAAACTAGTTCAAATGTCAGCTGTAAAGTAATAGAAGTAAAGTGCCAAAGAAAGGAGAAAATGTCTGGTCTTTTCCAGGAAAAAATCATCAAAACCCATTTAAATGGGACATAACTAAAACATACGAAGAGCCTGGTGCCACTGTTTCATCATTAGATTACTCTCTTCCAAACTTTAGTTGATAAGCCACACTCTCCCATCTAGTACAAAGACAGTAAAGAGGCCTGAGAAAATCAGATCTACAATGGAGTGGAAAGGGAAATCCTTCTCTCTTTTCCAGAGCACCATCTTACTAAGCAACGTGGAGAACTATGTAAGAGACTAGACATAGAATGCACATGCTATACACATGGCCAGTCCATTTGTTGTCTGCCATCTGAGACCTGACCAAGCAAAAGAAAGCTACTATCCACAGATTTTGGAAGTATACAAATTACAAATCCCAAGTCACCTCTACTATAGCCTGTTTAGCTCCCCGTTTGCCGAGAGGTGTTCAGACTCATCACTGTGGTGCTTCAAAGAGGATGTGGTTTATTCTGATATTGCTAGATGAATTGCTGCAATCCTGACAGGCTTCTGACCAGGCACAGGAGTGCAGAGAGAAGGTAGAACAATGGTTCTTTATAGGTCATGCCATGCATGGTGAACTTTCCACCTACACACAGAATTCCTGTCCGAACAAACATATCCTCATTGCTCCATGTCAGAAGTCCAGGCCCAGATGCACAACTCCTGGAGGAAGTCAGGTGAGTGGCAGGTAGGGAGAAAAGCTGCCAGTCCAAGCCAATTAGACATACAGGTAGATTAATCTCCTTTCTTCCTTTCCTTGGAAGAGGAAGGGCAAGAAGCTGGAGGCAGCATGGACTGTGGTTTCCGGCTTCCTCACCCAAAACCTGCCTAAATAAAACTGAGTTAACACTGTGGCTTTTATGTTTATCAACATACAAACCTGTGTGAAATCAGACTTTCTATGATGGATGAGATTTAAAAAATAAGGTCTTAAAACATGTTCAGCACTATAAATGAACTTTGTTGCATTGTTGAATCTGAACACTTCATTATATGTCGTTATTATTCCAAAACAGTGAATAGACATTTAAGAATACAATGTTATCGGTATGTCTTTGGAGAAAAAGATTGCCCTTTAGTAAATGTATGTAATTTTTCACTGTGTTTAAAGGATCTTCTTCTATGAAATTATGATGTTAACAGATGATTATTTTACCATCTACACCTAATGAAGTAAAAAGTTGGCAATTCCAGGTTTACTCTCAGGTTTTATTTACCTGTGAAATCTAAATTCTGGTACTACTGACTCAGAAAAATTTCTATTCTAAGCCCCTTGCTTGATGGATAAATTATTTTGCCCACAGAGGTTGATGGTGTACTAAAGGCTACACAGCAAGAAAGTGGCAAAGCCAGTCCCGAATCTACTCCAGCTGGGTAGGCATGCCGTTATCCAGCCCTTTAGGAAGTTGGTGTATCACATCACTCTTTTTAAACTCCATGGGAATTTAAGTCAATTATTTTAAAGTGTTTTAAACACATTTTAAATAAATGTCATTTTTATTCATAATTAAAATAGAATTTATCTAAAGGGGGTTTATAAAATTGTTTTTCATTGCCGTAAAGCTGTAAATAAAGCTTAGATGCCACATGTCAGTTTAAGGTAACCACATATTACCTTAACATATGGGTGAAAGTCCACAGGGATACTCGAAATGTAAAAATAACTACATATGCCTTGCGAATAGAAATAATCAAACCAGCTTAGCTCCCTTTTTCAAATCAATGTCTTTTGTATACCTGGCTGTGCAGACTCTGGCAAAAATGGTTCCACTGAAGATAGATTTATGTGCTAGGCCAATAAGCCCCAAAGTGGGCAATTTTGAGACTGCAACAGGAAAAAAGCCAAAGAAATTAAAGATGAAAACCACATGGCATATAGTTTTAGAATAAGGGACTGAAGACTTGAACTTGATGTCCATTTAAGTGCTAAAGAGATACAGAAAAAAAAAAAACACAATTTTCAAGCCTGTTCTTCCACAGATTTTGAAAAGCTTGATTCCAAACTGTTTCTCATGAAAGTCACTATACTGGGGGAGCTATTCATGGCAAACCACCTGGATAACGTTTATTCCTAGACCTCAAATTGATCATAATTATAAATGTACTCTCTTCATAAGTGTCCTCATATGTAAAATAAGCAGCTAAATTCAGCCACTTTCTCCCATGACTCCATAACCAGAGCAATTCTGGTCAGCTTTTGTAACAGTGAAGAGGACTGCCCTGCCAATCAACATAAGACCATTAACAACACACACAACCAAACAGATTCCTTTAAATTCTTCACAGCATCCCCCTCAAAAACTGATGTCTCACAATTGCCTTCGTCTGTTATTTTCACTCTCTCTTCCTTACTATAAGTTGACTCTTACCTCACTTTCCTGTTAAATCACATCTAATCCATCATCCGCAGATATGACTAATGACTTGCCTTTCAGGGTCTTATTATTCTGTTTGGGTGGATGGGTGAATTGGCATTTGCTGTCTAGGGAAACAGAAGAGATGCTGAATTAATGAGCTTGGTTAATTTGAATTCTCAAGAGTGGTTCAACAGCCCAGGCTGCTATGAACAAAAATCTGCAACTCAGGTATTCTGACCTTTTAAATGTCATCAAAAGAGGAATGTAAGTGTACTTTACTTCTGCCTATAGTAGCATAAATCAGAATAACTGGCTTAATTAGTTTTGTTTGCAGTTAGCTGAGTTATTAAAAAACGCAACTCCTTGAGAGCATTTGGTGTTGCCATCTGGCCCATCCTTTTGCTCCTGGTCTCTTTCCCTTCTGTTTCTTGCATTCCAGAAACCAACACTTCCCTGGACACAGCACTTTGGCTGTGAATGCAAGTGGCTATGTAAGGACCAGACTAAGGTCAGACCATCTTCTCAAGAATGTTTATCTGGAAGGAATATGGCCTTGGGGTAAGGAGAGTCTGTGTGGGAGGAAAAAGGATACTAAGGTTGTTGAACTCCCAGGTTAGGAATAGGAATACTCCTTCTATTAAAAATGCATTTTGGTAGTTGTCCATCCAGCTGTGAACTGTGTGTCCCATCTGGCTGAATCACAGGTTTCCAGGCAATAGCTCTGAGCTCACCTAATAAATAGATCACCAGGTCTTCTCTGATACTTTTCTAAGCCAGAGGCTAGTGATACTTATCTTATCTCACACTCTCATCACTGCATGTGTCTAATTTTCTGGGATTTCCAATAAGAATTGAGAAAAACTGGTTCCTTATTCCATTTAGGGTCTTTATCATTAACATTACCTCTACCTCAAGTGGCCTCTATGTCTAGAAGAATAAATGTCTTCTTTAGACACTGACCCTGTGCCCTGGGAGTCAGCTTGATTCTTTCTAGTCCTCTACTAGCTGACATCTGGCCTTGGACAATTCACTAACCTTCTTTGGAAGTCAATCATTTCATTCAGAACATGGGCGGGTTGAGTACGTCACAGCTCTAACATAAAGTATACTTTATGGCTTTAAGTTCTATGATTCTATGATGTTCTAAACTAAATACAGCTATATTGCCCTCATTTCTTCCTATTCTTTAGCATTAATATATACATCTATTCTCATTTAACTGAATTAAAAACTATATGCATCAATATATGCATATATAAATATGCATGTACATATTCACTACCAATTGGGTTTCTTTCTTACTGGTAAGAAAACACAAACCATGCCCCCAAAAGCAATTCATGCTTTTTAACATTTTTTAAGAACTAGCAATTATGGACACTTAGGAAGTTATAGCTACATACAGCCTAGATCAGGGGTTTCCCTAAAAGCCAAAAAGTCCCTCAATAATTAGGAGAAAGATGAGAAGACTTTTCACTTTTCTTTATAATCAAGACCAGAAGGCAAAATTCTGAGTTTAATGCAACAACGACTATATGTAACTAGATCTCACTAGAAAAGCCAACTCACCAGGGAGTATCAGAGACCACTTTCAAATGCCTAGTCTTCCAAAGTTAATCTAAACGTTCTATCCCTCAACCATACCAGCAGGCAAAACTGGTGCTAAAAATATTTTGTTTGCCAGGTTTTAAAATTTTTAAAGGACTTACTTTCCTTCATACGGCTGAAAATGAAGGTGAAGGAGGTATAAAAAAAACCATTCAATATCTTTAAACGTAATGCATTTAACATTTTTAAATATACATACAAGAACACTAAATGCTGTGTGTATGTACGTGTGTGTGTGTGTGTGTGTGTGTGTGTGTGTGTGTGTGTGTGTGTGTGGAGAGAGATGAAATAATTGAAATAGTTTTTGAGCAATTACCAAATCCACTCTTTTTCCCTTAGATATCTCCTGTCTCATGGAAAAGCCTACAGAAGGCCTAAATAACTAAGATTCTGATAAATTTTTAAATAAAAAAAAAAACTATTGGATATAATTCCTGAAGTTTCATTTATCCGGTAATTGAATATGTGCCTAATTTTGATCAGGAGCCAGGATGAAGTCCCAAGACTTCTTGTATTCTTCCATAATGATTTGAGACAAAAATTCCATAATACACATAAATTTTACTATGTAAAAATGGTAAATGAACAGCCATCTGTGAATAACCCAGTTATTGTCTTTTATCTTTGGAACAACAAACCAGTATTGCCTTTATAAGAATGACAATGTAACCTGCTACTCCTCTGCCATTTTCCCTTTTCAAAAACACCTCTCCTGCCTCTCTGCTGCTAAAGGATCCTCTATCTAAGAAAGAGCAGAGGTTCTTTCTATTGGAAACACTTGAACGGCACTCTAAAGAGAAAGCAATTTATGTCAGGAGCAGCAGTAACTTGAACCTCACTCTTTTGCAGATTAGAGACTTATAAATTAGAGCTGAGACTTTATGTCTGTATCCTCAAGTGTCCCGTAGTCTACTCTTGATATCGAATCTCAAATTTCCCAGCTCTCTTGCAAATCAGCCCATTTCAGAACATGGAACGATTCTTAATAGGTCCCAAAATCAAATTCAAAATAAATATATTTTCCAAATATGCTCAATGCTCACCATAAATATTATGTATTAAAGTACTATCAAGGGCAACTTGGTTATACCAAAGTATCCAAGAAGCAAATATTTGAGTTGATAATATTATAGAAACATAGTGCCTCACTTATCTGTAGTCAAGACTCAGCCAACAAGCAAAAACGGGCTGGGTGTGTTGGCTCACGCCTGTAATTCCAGCACTTTGGGAGGCAGAGGCAGGTAGATCAGCAGGTCCGGAGATGGAGACCATCCTGGCTAACATGGTGAAACTCCATCTCTACTAAAAGTACAAAAATTAGCTAGGCGTGGTGGTGTGCGCCTGTAATCCCAGCTACTCAGGAAGCTGAGGCAGGAGAATCGTTTGAACCAGGGAGTCGGAGGTTGCAGTGAGCCAAGACTGCGCCACCGCACTGCAGCCTGGCAACAGAGCGAGACTCCATCTCAAATAAAAATAAAAATAAAAAGCAAAACTGAACCTTGAAAAGCTAAAATACTTATGGCATATGGACTATGCACTGAAGCTCATGCAGTTTACTCTTAGAAGGACACCTCATGGTTATTTATTTTAAACACATTTCTAAGCAGGGCAGTTATCTGCATTCCCAAGCTATGACCAGCCATTGGGAACAGCAGAAAAGAATTTAGAAACAATGAGAAAATGAGTTAAAGTCAGGCCTGCTGAGGTCAGCAAGGAGTGCAGCTGACATCATGGCAGTACTAGAAGTGATTGGAAATCTATTTTTAGGAGATTAAAAAAAAAAGAATACTCATACAGGGCCATTTAATGAAGGAATCCACAGTTCTATCTCTAACCATCAAAAGTAAGTCGTAGAGCCTAAGGTGATAAATTTCAGCCTGGAAAACTTACTCCAATCACAGATACACTGGCCCAAAGTTGCTACACAAGTAAAACATTATAATTATTTATTTTCTTAAAGCTTTGGCAAACTTTGACTTTACACTCTTATTTCTGAGTGTAAAGTGGAGATCGACTAACATCCCTACATCCCTGCCTCCAGAATAATCTATCATTACTACAACTTAACTGTATAGCCCTACACATTCTGTATTTGTATTGCATTCATTTATTCATGTACTTATGCATTTGTATTCACGTGTCTGATTCATTTGACCCTTGTGAAAAGCTGTGACCTGATGAAATGGAATAACTCACCATAGCTTTTCACTTCCCCAACCTTTGTTCTAACCAATTTCAGGTAAAATGAAATGATACATGCATCACTAATTCAATGGTCACATTTTTTTTCTATCATATCTTCTGAAAAGTTGCAACAAGCCAGAAGATATAAACATTTCACTGGTTTCAACTGAGTCTAAAGGACAGGATTATAATCAGTTGAAAGAGATTCTTGGTTTACTTTATGGCAGCAACTAGCTTATGTGACAGGATGCCAGACACATTTGAACATTAGCTTGACCAACTAGAAAACAGTTGAATGTTTGGCATTGTGCAGACGCAATATTAAAGTCACTGAAATGTATATAAACATATGTATACACATATATATACAAAGTTGATAGGCAATCTCCATAGGAAAAAGATGAAAATGACCCTCCAGATTTAAATTACATTTATAGCATTGTGCTATCATTGTCAGTGGAGTTGAAAACCTTACACTGTACTAGAAAATACCTTTCTAAGCCATCTAGGTTTTCCAATAGTTTTCCTCTGATATATATTGCAATTTTCTTAAACAAACTATATTTTCAATATTAAGCTTTCTATGTCATTAAGTCAAAATGTATCCTTATGATAAATGTAATATGCTTTGCATATACAAGTATGGTACAATAAATCAATTTTATCAAAAACTTAAGTTGATGTCTTATCAAAGTGTGCATAAGGTTACCAAATTACAGTATTGAAGTTTGAAGAACAAAAACCATTATTATTTCTTTAACCATCTGTCAGTTCACACAACAGAAATACACACAGAGGGCCTGAATTAAAATCAGTTCTGGTGTTCCATAACTGTAACTGTTAAAATTTTTCTCCCAGGAGACATTCAATTTCTATTGTCCAAATTCATTCACAAGTGATGTGCTGACTTTTTTAAACAAAATGAAAGATTTATGAGAGTAATTATTCATGCTATAGTGCACACTACTTAATTCACAGACAATCCCGCTTCAGAGAAACACTGCTGGGGTCTTCCACATACAGGTTATCTGACCCCTCATAGACAAGGCCACTTTGTGTTATCAACATTTTTCGTTTACTCATTAATAACCTCAACAGAGAATAAGGAGCAGTCTTAAAACTCTGGGTGAAACCACAAAGTGGGAGATTTGAAATGCAATATTCTCTTGTGGGAAATACCCATTAGCATTGCCGGCAGTGCAGGCGTCACCGACATCCGCCGTAAATAGGTTAGAAACTCATGTGCTTCTTTTTCTATCTGGATGTAAAGGCTTTAAAAAGTAAAGCAGTCATGAGCCTACTCATATGTCAGAGTTGCCTTCAAATTAGCCTAACAATTCCACCCATCAAAAACACAAATTTTCAACCCATATCCCCAGATAGTATGTTATTAGACAACTTTAGTCTAGAATGGAGTGAAGTTTTACGGTAACAGCTGGGATCAGTCCTTCCCAGTCCTGGAGTTAAGCAAAGGAAAAGGAGAAGTTTTCTTCTTCCCAGGAAGCCTGAGTGTTTGAAACCTTCACTCACACCAACCCATCTTAAGCAAAATGACTCACTGAGGGCAATGGTTTCCAACTGGTCCACTCATTAGAATCACCTGAGAGCTCTTTTTGCAAAGTGCCCAAGTCCAGTGCCAGATCAATTCAATTTGCATCTCAGAGTGCAGTGTAAGGCTCAGCCACCAGTATTTTTTCAAAGCTATCATAGTGATTTTAATCTGCAGCTAGATTGAAAACCACTGCTCTAAAGCAATGGTTTTGAACCAGGGGCAATTTTCCCTACAACCCCCCGCAACCCTGGAACGTCTGGCAGTGTCTAGAGACATTTTTTATTACCACAACTAGGGGGATGCTCAGAGGTAAAGCCCAGGGATGCTACTGAACCTCCTTAAATGCATAAGGCAGCATCTCACAACAAAGAATTATCTGGTCCAAAATAATAACAGTGTAGCTGTAAAGAAACCGTGAACTAGAAGAGTTCATTGGGAGAAACAGCCTGCTCTTTCCATCTCGAGAGATACCCTCACAAAACAAGAAAAGAATCAATAGGAAGCTTTCAGGAGGAAGACTTACAACCCTGACACTCCATTCAGCAAGACCAAAGTAGTTCTAAATGGACCTTGTTTAATGCAGGTGAATGATTTCCTCATGCTTGCTCTCATTGGCTGGAGTGATGTTTAAGGAGAGCACAATGTTACTGCTCACTGAAACTTGCTCTAACAAGGCAAAGGGAATCAGACCCACCAGGATAATTAAACAATTCCTTTTTTTTTTTTTTTTTTGAAGACGAAGAAGAAAGAAGATAATGAAGAGTACCATTTCTTCGTCTATTTATTCCTTCTCATTTGCCAGTCACCAGCAATATGTGCTTCTAGAATTAATATCAAACTATTTTTACTATTTTTTCTTCTGCATTCATTATGTCCAGTGGGTGAGCTACTTGTAAGGATCTGTGATCATCAGAATCTTCTTTGTCTTGAAGGCCAATAACAAATACAGCTATTGCTAGAAGAGCCTAAATCATCCAAGACATCCATGACCTGAGCTAAATAGTTACCTGTTTAAAAGCAAAGGCCTGCCAGCTAGTATCTGGAAGCACAACTCTTTCATTTTGTTGTGGAAGGAAACATTTTTGCCTAAGAAAATTCCATTCAACCTTGGATGTCAATGGAATCAAGTAAGTGAAACCCCCATTCTCAATAGTTGAGGCTGTCACTTTATGAACATTTATAAATGACAATGGTTATTCAATTACTTAATTTACAAATATGAAATAAGCAAGCAATTTGAATGAATGGACAAATGCCTGAATGCCTAGATGTGGTAAGTGTTGAATCTACTTCCTATTTGAAAACGGAACTCTACACAAACTAGAAAGAAATCATTGAACAGTAACTTCTAAAGAGTTAAATGCATTTTTGAGAATTTTGTTTAGTTTGGAGATTTGTTTAAATATTTCTTTTGCTTTTGCTTTTGTTGTTTTCTAAACACCTACTAATTAAGAAATTATTATAGAGACTTAAGATGTTTTTAAGAGAGAAAAAATAGCTAAAATTTATCTTTGCATTCCCAAAAGAAACTCTTGAATGAGTTCAATATTTCATCCACTGAGTTTGTAATTATAAGCACAAGAAGATTTATAAATGCTCAAGGCACAGTCAACGAAAACAGTCATCTTTTTCACTGATGTCCTCTCAGTGTGCATATGTGTGTGTTTTGGGAGGGAATGCATATCTTTACAGGTAGGACAATATCCTGCCAATGTATATTTCATTTCTGTTTCAGTCTGCCATAATGCACACACACTTCCCATTTGTTTTCACATGCTTTTTGTTCACATAAAAACATGCAAGTGCTCATCCAAAACACTCATATTTCACACCAACCCCAAGCAGAATGACTCTGGAAATGAGTCAGCAAATCTGCAATTCTGAATTAACCTTGATACTGCTTCCTATCTATTTACACACAAATGATTCAAACAAATTGTGTGAGGATTTAAAAATATGAAAAAGCATGTCTTACCATCCATATCAAAAGTTAATTTGTAACAGCAGGATAAATACAAGTTACCAATGCCCATGTTTATAGGCTGATGATCCATAAACATCTCATTGTGCCACTTCATTTTCCAATTAATTACTGAAATTAAAATACAATGCAAATGCACTGCAAATATACTCTGAGGATATCAACTCTCAGCATAAGATTGGTCACTTAAGAATGAGAAAACTTGAAGTAGACATAAGATTTGAACTTCACTATCATTCTATTACATCAGTTTTAACTAAATTATAGTGTTAAATTTTAAGAAACATTTACCTGCCCCACTAAGTTTCTCTGTATCCAGGCAATAAGCTATGAGGTAATGTCATCTTTACTAGGAGATGCACCTTACCTACAATGCAAGGCATTGTTTAAAAGCTGCATCTAAAAACTTTTCTTAGAAGTCAAATCATACAGTGATTAAACTAGAGTTCTTTATATAAAGAAGCCCTTTTGTAAAGAGAAAGTGTTTTTTAAGTGATCCACTTGTCCCTAATATTTTCTTTTAGTTTCAGAGACAAAGTTTCCTTTTAATGGTGCACATATTTACTTCTCAAGCTCATTAAAAAGTAATCAAGAAATGGAAAAATCATTAACTTTACCTTCCCATTACTCCACTATCCCCTCTTCAAAGACAAGCTTCATGTCCAATGACCAATCTCATGATAGTAACACAACCAAACTTTCTTTTTAAATGACTTGCATCTCTTGTACAGAATTGGGCAGCCAAGACTGCCCACAGCAATGGGGTGGGGGTGGGGGCAGCATCTCCACGGCTCTTGGGAAGAGTGAGTGAAGGTTCAACCTTGGAAAGGCACCAGCCAGGACGCCTCAAGACAACAGGTAAACTGGCTTCTCTGGGCCTCCACCTCCCAACGACAGAGAAAGCAGTAGCCTCTCATCTTTCCCAACCTTTTTATTTCCACTTGTGCTTAAAAGAACATTGCATGCATTTGAAGTCAAGTTTCTGGAGGCAATTTTCAGCACTATGAGAAAAGGATTAGGATAAAATGGAATCCAACAGGTAAATCCCCAAATACAATATTGAAATTTACCCCTTCTTGTCACTGCTAAAACTGGCAGCCTCCTCCACTACTGCTTGGAGCTGGCTGCAGACTCCAGAGCACCTTCCAAATAAAGCAAAAACCCTCAGATATTTTCAATGAAAACAAAACCCCACAGTATATAAAATCAATCGTTTTAGATCCAACTCAACCATAGGTAACATAAAAGGATTGTGGAGTTTTTTTGTTTTTTATTCTTTAAGAAATGATTTTTTCTCTCTCAAGTGCAAAGTGGTTTCAGATCCAAGATGCAGAAAATTAAACCTCTTCGAAAAGGTTTAAAAGCTCAGGTTTAGCACTGCCTCAGCAAATGTAGTGGACGTTATGCTTTAGAAACCAAAAGAGTGTCCAAACACATCTGTACATTTTAAAAAGGTACTTTCAAACAACCAGGAAAGATGTCTCTTGCAGTGTAAGACAGCATATTATTTGGAATATGTATAAGGGAGTTTGATGACAGTGTTGGTGGATTTTGAGTGAGTAGAAAGGGAATCAGCTGATGCGTTTTAGATGCAAAGAAATGTCACAGATTCAGGCCTCCAACACAATGGAAAAAAAATCCTTAAGGTAAAGTCAGGCATATTTATAGCCATTTGGGCAGACCAGCATCAAGCCTGTTTAGGAACATCATACTTCTTTTTTAATGTTATTGGTTTTTCATAGAAATATTCATATCTTCTTGTATATAACCTATTAACTGGATTCAAAATCCTTTTGGCAACCATTCCACAAACAAGCTCTGGTAGGAAACAGCACACACCACTAAGAAAATGCTCAGGTTTAAGATGAAAGACTCTTAGAATGGTTCTATTTTTTATCACCAATACCCAAAGATTTCCCTTTGACAACTCAAGGTCCTAAGGAATTACTGTTCCTCTCCCTCCCATAAACCCTCATCCCCAAACTTCTTCACACTGACTGATAACTGTTTAGAATAAAAACAGATGGAGGAGAAGAACCCCATATCATGATTTTGGGTCCAACATTTGCTCCTTCCCCAAACCCACTCCCTAGCTAGCGCCTGCACTTTCTTACATGGCTGGAAAGTCCATCATCATTCGTAACTCTCTACTGAGTTCCCCAGCCCAAGCAGCACCCCAGCACATACTGACCCACCGTTCATGCCACTGTAGACATTCCGGTGATGGGGTGACCCGTCCTCCTGTGCCTGCCGTCTGAGGGTGCCCTCCCTGCTGCCTCCGCCGCTGCCTCCACTTCCTCCACTGCCTCCTCCGTGTTTGTGATCAGGGCTCCCTCCATAATGTTGTTTGAGGTGCTCCGGGCTGGTGCCCCTGGCTCTGGGGAGATGCTCTAGGCTCCCCCCAAGAGCGTGTTTCTGAAGATGCTCCGGGCTCCCTCCACTGTGCCTGGCGTGTTCAGGGCTGCTCCCTGACCGGTGCTTCTGGAAGTGTTCCGGGCTCCCACTCAGCACGTGCTTGGGCAGCGTTTCGGGGCTGCTCCCTGGATGCGGGTGCCTTTGCTGTTCGGGGCTGCCCTTGCACAAGGGTTTGTGGTGCTCCGGGCTAGGTCCTTTGAGTGCTTTGGGGCGATCTGGGGTTCCACAGGCTCTGGGTTTCTGTGGATGCTCGGGGCTGGCGCTCCTGTGCTTGGAGTGCTCCGGGCTGCCCTCGCTCCGGGGCTTCTGCAGGTGCTCCGGGCTGCCACTGCTCGCGTGGTGCTTGTGGTGGTCCGGGCTGTCAGTGCTGCCAGTGCTGGAGGTGCTGCTGCCGTCACCCACATCCCGCACGTAGGGTGCGGTGGAGGCTGTGAGTTGGCACAGGCTGGCCTGGCTGTCGATGGAGCAGCGGCTGCCTGCGCAGCCTGCACCCTTCTCCTCATCTAGTAGCACACAGAGCTCCTTGAGCTCCATGTTCTCCTTCACCACTTCCTCCTGCTTCACCTCCAGGTCTTTCAGCTTCTGCAGGTATAAGGCCACTTCCTTGTGCATCACCCCGGCAGTGTAGCGACCCAGTCTCTGCCACTCCCGAGACACCCTCTTGCCTTTCTGCCGGTCATCATCCAGGAAACAGCAGAGGTCCCTCAGTTCCTGGTTGTCTTCCTGGAGTTTCTGGTTGATATCCTGAAAAGAGAGACACAACCATTCAAGGGAAGTACACATCTGAGGTGTCAGCAGGCTCAGACTTCCTGGAAAGGGAGAGCCTGTAACTGGTGAATTACCTGTGAGGTTAGGGGAGGAGGTGAGGGAGTAGGAGGAAGCTGAAGATTTGTAGCTGTCCATAAAAATTAAACTAACTTAAGTATCAGTTCTATCCCTGCACAATACTTTACTTGCATTATGTCATCTAATTTTTACCCAAACATTTAGGGGATAATAATTAGTATGGCCATAAAAATTAAACTAACTTAAGTATCAGTTCTATCCCTGCACAATACTTTACTTGCATTATGTCATCCAATTTTTACCCAAACATTTAGGGGATAATAATTATTATGGCTCTTATACAGAAGAGGAAATCGGACCTCACAAAGCTTCACTTGTCCAAGTTCATCTGGTCAGTAGTTAGGGAGCAACCAGTTCATTATCAAGAAATCAGTCACTAGATAAAAACAAGGCTCCCCTGCCTCACCCTCAAGAAAGAAAAATAACTGCTTGTGACCTGTGAAATGCTTAAAAGCCCTGAGACAACAGACCTTTCAACAGAGTAAACAGCAAGCACTGCTTAGATCTTCAGCCCTGACATGGAATATGCAGCCCCAATTCCCCTGGTAGGGAAAGGCACAATTGCCCTCTAGTGGCATTTCAGCCCTGCACATCCAACCCCTACTTGCCACACCCACCTGAACATCTCCCAGGCATCTCTCACTTATCTCAAGCAACCTGAGCCTTAAATTAAGAGACCTCTCTCCCCAAACTGCACCTCTCAGCAAATGCCCCCTCTTTCTGTTCCACTGTTCTTTATATGAACCTGGGGTCATCCCTGGCATCTCCTTCTCCTTCAACCTTCCATTTCAAAACCAAACAAGGCTTTGGAGCTCTACTTCCAAAATTTAGCTCATCTTGTCATTCCCATGTTTGAAATCCTTTAATCTCATGGCCCTTAGGATACAATGCAAAATCCTTTAAGTCACACAAGGCTCCAGGTACATTGATTCTGCCTACTTCTCCTGCATGAGTGATGATTCACTTGCTTGTTCACAAATACTCAGTAAACATCTATTACTGTACCAGGTACCAGTCCAGGTGGTAGGGATATATCAGTGGACACAGCAAAGACCCTGACATGGTACAGCTTTTATTGTGGTGGGAAAGACTGGCAAAAAACACGTATAGAGCATAACGTCATGCAGTGAGAAGTTCTGGAAGGAAAATTGAAGCAGGTTAAAGAATACTCTTTTTCAAGAGAAGATACCGCTACAGAGAAGGGAAACATTTGAGCAGGCACCTGGGTGGAATGAAGGAGCCAACATTTGAGTGAAGATGATCCCAGGCAGGGAGAGGGCAAGTAAAAAGCCCTAAGACCAGCATGAGAGCAAGAGCTCAAGTACAGCGAGGTGAGCATGTCTAAAGAACAGAGAGCAAGTCAACGGACATGGGAAAGGGGGTCTGAGAGGCATCAGGGCCTAGAATATGCATGGCATGGTCAGCGACGGGAAAGGCTTTGGGTTGTTAGGGAGCTGAGGATAGAGGAGTGACATTACATGATTCCTTTTGCAAAGAATCTCCATAGTTGTGTGGAAAACAGACTGACTGGGGTAGGGGAGGAAAGAAGGGAGGGTCAGGATAAAGTGGAAGCTGCAAGATTAACAAGTAGGCTCCTGGGCTGGTCCAGGTAGAGGGAGATGATGGTGGCTTGGACGTGTGGTAGCAGTGGAGAAGGTGGGAACACCCCTCCTCATCACACACTGAGGCTGTGTTTCAGGTCCTCAAAGGGCAAGGCCTTTCCCTCTCACCTGGAATGCTCTCCCCAGCCTTCTAGACAACCATCAGGTCTCATTTTATAAGTCACTTCCCCATAGACACCATTCTATAGAAGGTCCACCCCCAATCTATGGTCTACCATCATCCCTCAGACTTACTGCAATTTGTAAGAAGAAATGTGTGAGTATGACCATTCATTCTAGACTACATCTTCTCTAGAGTCACAAGAACAGAGACCTCATCTATGTACTTCTGTGTATGGAGAACACAGCACTCCCTGCGCAAATACCTGAAGCCAAGGAATTTTTAAGATGACTAGTAGAGTTCCCACCTATTCTCCATTTATGCATACAGTCAAGGAGCCAGCAGTTCCTTGAGGCACTGTAGTTTGGTAAGGATGAAACAGGGGCAGCTACAGGGCTGCTACCTAAGATTTCACTGCTTCAAAAAGCCTGAAAAATCTTTGGTCTTGCGAACCGATCCAGAACTAGAGGTACTCAGAAAGGGGGCTGAATTCACTTACACTCAGGCTGATTTCAACACTGCCCTTAACATAGACTAAAAAACAAATTATAAAACACCTGTCAACCACATCCTCCACTTCCTAAAGTCATGGGAGTGAATTTGTGGGTATTAGGAAGAAGCTTATGCAGCTTAGTTTCTAACTCCAGTTCTAATTCTTGGCATCACCAACAACTCTGTTCCTTTGCTTCTAATTCCCACCTCTCCTTTTTGCTTCTCGTTGCCACTTTCTGTTTTCAGGCCTGACCTTTGCCAACAGCCTCCCAGGCAGCCTCCCTGCCTTTGTTTGCACCATCCACTCCTTCCCCTCACCCACTAGAACACAAGCACTCCTCAATCAGACCTTCAAAAATACTCCCTGCTATTCATGACATAAAGATGGCAACAACAGAAACTGGGGGCTCTTAGTGGGGTAGGAAGGGAGGTAAGGGTTAAAAAACTATCGGATACTATGCTCAGTACCTGGAAGATGGGATTAATCATACCCAAAACCTCAGCATCACACAGTGTACTCTCCGAATCTAAAATAAAAGTTGAAATTTAAAATAAACAAAAAACAACAACACCTGGGTTCAATGGCTCATATCTGTAATCCCAACACTTTGGGAGGCCGAGGTGGGCAGATCACTTGAGGTCAGGAGTTCAAGACCAGTCTGGCCAACGTGGTGAAACCTGTCTCTACTAAAAATACAAAAATTAGCCAAGCATGGTGACACGTGCCTGTAATCCCAGGTACCCAGGAACCTGAGGCAGGAGAATTGCTTGAACCAGGGAGGAGGAGGCTGCAGTGAGCCAAGATCACGATACACTACAGCCTGGGCAACAGAGTGAGACCTTGTCTCAAAAAAAAAAAAAAACACCAAAAATACCCCGTGCATGTTTTGCCTCTCCTGTTTATCAATCCCCATCACCTTTCCTTTGCCAGGGAAAATGAATAAGACCCTCAGCCAGGCCTGAAAGGCTGTCCCTTGCCTTTCCACCTTTAGTTGCCAGCTAATTATGAGCTATGATTACGTCTGTGCATTCCAACTAGAAAATATCATCTTCTACCCCATATGAACCTAAGAGGAGAGATTCCTCTGAGAAGTTTCCCCCGGCACAGAAAAGTACCCATGAATGAATGAATGAAGTAACTTTCCCACTCACTGTTTAAGGCCTGTATCACACTCTAGCTAGAACAATCACTAGACATCAATTTTTTCTCCTTTCTAATGTGGACATCTTAGCTTCTGGAGAGCAGGGTCTATTCCAAAAGTCTTTCTTTGAATATGCAACATATCTGGCATGGTGCCTTGCATACAGTGGACACTCAATATGTGTTTATGGACTGATCAACCATATAAAGCTCCAGGCCTCTGGCCAAAACAGGCTACAGCTATAGCTACTGAGAAGAATTTCTTATTGTTTTCAGCAAGCACTAGCTATGTCAGAGCCTACAGTAGTAAGAAAATAAACTATCCCTTGATACTGATGCTTTACAGGAAATCAGAAGCTGTGGATATTTGGAGAAAACAATAACAAAGAAAATTAATCTTTCTAAGCTCCAAAAATTATTCAACATTTAGTTTAATCCTGGCATTTGATAGAAAGCTCAAGTCATGTTCTCTTTCATCTAAACAAATTTTCATAGGAAAATACTTCCCTTTGACTATGCTACAGCTACTTCTGATTTCTCTAGAGCTGGAAAGTAAACAGGACTGGTGCTACCCTCGGCTTCACGGAGCTAATGCCTTTTCCAAAAGGAGTGAAACATACACTTCTCAGCACTCCAGATGGAGTAGATAGGAGTGAGTATTGGCCCACTCCCATTTCTATATCACAGTTCCCTCTTTCTATTATTAGTTTTCTTGAGAATATTATTTACTATTCAGTTCTGAGCTATTTCCTTTGCCTTCTGATGAACAGCTAAGCAGCCAGCTTGATAATAACCTTGTGATCCAGCTTCTTCAAATCTGCCTCACTAAGACTTGGGCTTTCTTTTGCAAAACACTAGGTGTCCTTTTAACATTGCCACCGGCCACCAGAAATTATCCAAGTGTCTAAGTGGACTTTTAAAAGGTTAAGTCCACTTCGTAGCACACCAACCAAAATTTCAATCTTATGCCTGAAGACTATCAAGTACTGTATCTACAGTTAAATAATTGTTTTAATTTGTTATTTTGCTTCACTGCAGAGCAGGGTGGTGGGCGGGTCGGTGGTTGGGTTAGGAACCAAGGAGGGAAATTAATGCAATGAAGAAAACAAATCTACAGAGATTCATCCCGAATCAGCCCCCAACTGGGATACTGGGTCAGAGCAGCCTGAAGTGTTGGTATATGCTCAGCAGTCCAAAGACATGGTTCTCAGGAATCCAGTTCCTTACAACATAACCCTAACTAGAATCTCCCTCATCCACCCCTTCCAGGACCACACATTCTAAGCAAAGAATGTCAACTAGCCAAAAGAAAAGGAAAGCAGGCCGATTTTGAACACTTTATGTCTGTGTGACCTTGAGAAAACTATCTAACTTCACTGGGGTTTCTTCATCTATGGTATATTTCATCCTCATAAAACCTCATGTGGAATTAAAATCCCCATGAGCAGATGAGAAAACCGAGAGACAGAGAGTTTAACAATTGGCCAAAGCTGCCCAAATTATCAGAATCCAAATTCTTTATCTTTCCACTTCTCAGGGCCCCTGCACTGCCCTGCCTCCCAAATATCTAAACACAAACAAGTCAATCAGTGCTAGGACCCGGCCACAGGCCCCTGAAAAGTAAAGAACTGATGCTGCCATCTCCTGTGTCCACAGCTACAATAACACCTGGTAGCCTTACAAATATTTAGATGCAATTTCAAAGTCAGCTCATAGAAAGAGGCATAAAAAAGAAAATGTATTATGGTCTTAATTCCCCTACATTTATAGTTCTCAACTGAGAATGCCAAGCCCTCAGACGCTCCCCCACGCCCTTAACAAAAAAAAATACTTCTTTTCTTCCAGTTAAGCCAAAATAAATATATGTACCCATCATTTATTCAATCAACCACATTTATGGATTACTATGGTGTCCAAGGAAGCTCTGAGCCAAAATAAAAAAGAGAAGGGAGAAGGCTGGCCTCTCCAAAGAGTAAAACCACAGCACACCCAGGGTGGGCCAGAAGCCTGGGAGTCCGCTCCTTGCAGCAGCCCAGGGATGACATGAGAAGAGTAGAAGCTGCATCAGAAAGCAACCTGCCCCCATCATTTCTGAACTTGATAAGGAAGTAGACTGGCAAGTCTTTTAATGCCAGGTCATGAATCTAGATCACAAGGAGACTTTCTTACTTGGGTGTACGGGCCTTTAGCTGACCTAATAGCTACTTCTCTACATGAAGCTACTGGAATGAAGCCCAGGCACTCTACCAACCCACTCTACCATTCCCCTCCCCTACCCACACACAGACATCACACACAGTCAATCCACATAACCTAAAGGAACTTTCAAGTGTTTCTGAGCTATTATTTTGATGCTCCATACTATTAAAACATTTAATAATAACTCTTCCAACTCTTCTAAATCACACTATTGTTCAGACCATGGAAGAAACTCAAATTAGAGGATGACAAACTAATGCCCCCTTGTCCAGCTCTGCCTAAGAAACCAAAATCTTGGGGACACACAGCCATAGATTTGTAAGTCCTTTCCTGATGACAGTAACTACCATTTTATAGTCAAGTATTAAACCTTCCCCTACATAATCATAACTTATTGCCATAACACCCTCAGAAAGTTATTATCATTGCATTGTATTGGTGAATAAAAGGAGGATCTGAGAAAGTAATTACCCAAGCTCACCCTCCTGGCAAATGAGGTTTCTAGAATTCAAACCCACCTCTGAGATCATCTTCCTACTACACTAGCCTGCCTCTATTCCCCAAAGAGACTGGCACTTAATAAACACTCTGTTAGTAATGAATTCAACCACAGGAGAGAGTAAGCCTTGGCATTTTTCTGACTGGAGGAATCTTCCTACCTGCACCCACTCTAGGGACTATATGACAATGACTTTCGGCCTCGGGAGACGGCCATCTCCACCTGAACTGGGCCCAGCACATAGGTGAGCCTTGAGCATTCCACTCTTCCCACTCTTTCTTGCCCCAGAATCCCAGAGCTGGAGCACTGAGGCAATTCCGGAACAGCATCTACTGTCTGATATGTGGGGATAGGAGTGGAAAGGGGAAAAGAACAGCTTGTGCCTTCGGGAATTTGCTCCCTGAAGTCCCTGCAGTGATTTCGTTTGTGTCTGGCTTCCTACAAACAAAGCAGAACAATGAGAGGAAGGAATACCAGGAGGCACCAGCGCTAGCTGGAAGGAGAGGAAGTTTGTGGTGCTCGCCAGCAGGGCGGTTCCCGGCCACTAGTGTACTGCAGCTGGGCAGGCACACTCCTCGCAGACCCGGCGCTCTCCAAGGAGAAAAGAAAGTTAGTGGGCTTGGGGTACGTTTCCCTTCTTTTCCTAGAAGAGGGTGGCAGGGGGGCTGGCTCAGAAAGAAACCATCACTGACCAACACTTGGGGTACTCTGTCAAAATGCTGCTCCTTCCATACTGAGTCTCTTTGCTCCTCCTCTTTCCCCCAGTCAACCTGGGGTTAAGTGGGAAGGGGAGTAAGGCAACTCCAGGGGATGCCTTCCAAACTCCGGGAGAGGGAAAGCACAGGAATTGGGAGAAGACGTGAAGGCAGAGCTTGAACTCCTATGTACCCGGTGACACAAGACTGCTCTGAGGGTGGCGCCCGCTGCTTCTCCCGGGCGCCCCGCCAGCCGCTCTCCCTGGCAGTGGCGCCCTTTCCTCGCCCTCTGCCCGCCCAAGAGCTGCTGGCCCAGAGCAGCCGCATTCCCGACCCTCCAAGGCGAAGATCCCCTGGATTCACCCCCTCACTGGCCTTTCCGCCTAACTGACTGAAACCCGGCTCCCCAGGCACAGATTTTCCAGCCTCCCTAAGAAATGAAAGGTTCGCGTGCCCTTCACCTCCCTCCCTGCTTTCCAGCGTCCTCAGCGCCTCCCCGAACAGCCAGACAGTGGAGCGCCCCGTGTTGGGGAGAGGAGGGGAGCAGACGCCTCCGAAGTTTGGAAAAGTTACACAGGGGCTGGGGACTGGGGGTAGGGGGTGCCGACCGGGAGAAGGGGAGGGTCACCTGTTGAGGGAGGGAGGGAAAGTTTGCCTGGCCCCGCCTCCTCCTCGGGGCACCCCGCTCCCAGCCGCGCCGCGCCTCCCCACCTGGCCCGCGCTCACCTTGAGGCCGCGGATCTCGCCGAGGTGCAGCTGCAGGCGGCGGTTCACCTCGCGGATGAGGTTGCTGTGGTCCAGCATCGCGCTCACCTTCTCCGCCTCGGCGCGCCGCAGGCTGCGGATCAGCTCCTCCTTGCTCCACTGCAGCAGCTCCTCGTCCGACACTTTGGACAGGTCCTCCACCGGCGCGGGCGGGGCCGCGGACGAGCCGGCCGGGGCTGGGGAACAACTTTCCGCCGCCGCCGCAGCCGCCGCCGCGCCTCCGGCCGCCTTCGACATGGTATCCGCGGGGTGGCAGGTGCAAGTGGGTGGAAGAGGCGAGGCGACTCCCGAAGGCGCGGGCGCGGCGAGGCCGCCTCCGCCCACACCCCTGTGCGCTCCGGCGAGTCAGCGGCACCGCCCAGGGGCCGCTGGGTTGGGGCGGCGGGGGTCGCGCTGGGTGGCCATCCTACCTCGCCATCCCCGCGCGCGCGCCCGCGCTCCCCCAGGGCCCGGCAGCCAGCCGCTTGCTGCTGCCGAGGCCCGTCCCAACTCCGCGCAAGTCCATGGTGAGGGGCACTGGGGAGCCCGGGGCTGCCGCGGGAAATCCTCGGGGACAGCGGGGGAGCTGCACCGCCGTTCCCCTGCCCTCTCCTCCGCCCTAAGCCGAGACTGTCGCCCCCCGCACTCTCTGCCCTGCACACAGGCGTGCACGCACACGCACTTTCCTCCCCCTTGCCCAGCTGCAGCCCCCGGCTTCTCCCCTCTCCTAGCTTGGAGGGCGCGCCGGGCACCGCGGCGCCTCCCCGGCTGCTCTAGCGACGCCGCCGCGGCTGCCCGAAGGCTGCTGCGCTCCTCCTGCCGCCTTCGCTGCGCCCGCGGCCGCTCCTAGGCTGCTCCGGAAAGCCTTCGATTTGCAGAGCGGAGTCGAGAAGGGGTGGAGGGTGGGGGACCGGCTGGAGGAGGAGCCTGGAGCTGGGGCCACCCGTAACCCGCAGCAGCTCCCGCATGGGCTGGACGCAGCTGCCACTCGACCGCTGCCCGGGCCCTCGAGGTGCGCTCCCGGCTGTCCTGCCCGGGAGGGCTGGGGGCGCGGCTCTTTCTGCGCCCGGGCGGGTGGGGCTGGAATGGGGAGAAGGTGAGGAGCTGTGGCCGCCCGGTCTTTGGGAGGCTCGCGCGCGCCACCGTGTGGCGGAAGAAGCTCCCTCCTCTGCCCTCTGCACACCGGCCTTGTCACCAGGCAGGGGAAACAGCTGCTGACCCAAATGCGAGGTGCTTCGTATTTGGAGGGATCGGGGATCAGGAAAGATGGGGTAGCAGGACCTGAGGGATAACCAGTTATTTGCACTTTGGAGAATGGGAGGAGAGGCAAATGGCAAAAACGGGGGTTGGGGAAAGGGGCAGCTTAAGAAAATCCAAATGGTCTGAAAAGGGCGAAAAGAGGCGTCAGGGCACTGCTCTTATGGGGCTACCCATCCCCACCCCCCACTCTCGCCCCACCCCTAGGCCTTTGTGTTTTCTAAAAATCCACTACTCTATGAAGAAGCTTCGGGAGAAGGTACTGGATCTTTTAAATTTTTATTTGAAAAATATCAAAGCCTTTAGGCGAAAATAAAATACCTTCATCTCCTGCTTCCTGAAACCTGGATTTTAAGGTCAGCACAGTCACCTCCCCTCGGAGCAAAGCAAGCCCCCTCAGGCAAGCTGAAATGCCAGCCAAGGAGATTTCCATTTTCTTCTATGCCGCAGGCTGCCAGGCGTTTACTGGGTCGGCTTTTTTATGATGGTTATTTCTGGAAGGAGGAAGTCTGAGTCCCTGGCTTCTATCTTTGGGCTATCCTCTTGTAAAGTTGGGTGGAATCGTCTCTGGGCTGAAAACATGCTTTTGCCTAAAGAGGTGGATGCCCTTGACCACCGCATGTTATTTCCAGTGGGGTACAGGGCCGGAAAATGGCAAGGATCTACCCCCACCGGGTTTCAGTTAACCCGGGTGCAGAGGGAATAATCTCTATCTGGTAGGATGATAATCAAAATCAGTCCCTTCACCCGCCGGTCAGTGCGTGTCCCCTATTGGGGACACTGAGACCTGGCTCCCGGGAGAGGCAAGGAAATGTGGTACTGCTTACGGTGACCAAATGGCCTTAACATTCCCCTCAGCTTAACTAAACTTTAGACAGGTTTCTTCCTAACTGTAGGCCCCAGACCTTCCTTTTCTCAGAGCATTTACTTTAGCCAACTTCCATTGGTGAATGTTTCCTCTGACCCTTTGACATGTAAATCTCTCCGCCTCTTGCTGGGTTTTACAGCCTGGGGATCTTTCTCAGGGATCTGTGAGGCATCCCTTTGAAATGTAATCATCAAGGAAAAAAGGGTCCCTATCTCCTAGTGTTTGTGGAGAGGAGGAGCCTAACTTTAATAAGTTCCAATTAGGAAACACAAATGGCCTCATTACACTGACCAACTTCCCATCCTAATCTCCTCCACTAGTCTTCTACTAGTTCCCCTCTCCCTCCCTCTCTCTCTTCCCTATTGCAATAGCCTTGAATAATTCCCCCTTGTCTGTTTAACTATATCGGATGCAATTTTTCTTTGACACCTCCAAGCCGCTCTCACGCCCACAGAAGGCTCTGCTCAACACAGTTCCTAAGACCAGTTTTGTCACAGAAAGGGAAAGTGAAGGTCAGAAAAAGATAAGTCCTATCTCTGTTACTTGTTAGTTCTTGTCCTTGAACAAACCATCCGACCTTACTGGCCCTCGGGCAGCTAATGATATGGTATACAAGAAGCGCTTGATCGAGCCACCCTACAGAAATGCAACCTTACTATTACTGATATTACATATTACATTGGGCAGCCTCTTGTCTAGAAATAGGAACCAGGACTTCTGTTTATTCCTCCATCACGGGTTCTTCAAGAGTCGTATTCTAAAATGAAACAGCCAGCCCCCTTCTCTGCTAACTCCCTCTGATCAGTTAACACCAAATAGATATGAGAAATCAGAGAGATGGCTGAGAGGAAAAATTAGACTTGTGTTGGGAAGACAAGGAAGAAGGAAAGCCAAAAAAAAAAAAAAAGTCTCCACAAATTATATACACTAGCAGTGGATTACAGTTGAGCTAGATCACCTTAAGGTTTTCATGTTTCTAATTTTGGTCATTGATTCAGAATAATAATTATCTGCATGAATGAATAATGTTGCTTCATGTTGCTAAGGTCATGTATGGTGTCAGGAGCTTCATTTGACTGCTAAAAACAGAAACTCAAAAAACAGTCACTTTAAAAAAGTCATTTATTTTTTCTCACCTACCTGGTATTCTAAAGAGAGGCAGCTGAGGGCTGGTATGGTATCTTCATGAGGTCGTCAAAATCTTAGGCTCCTTCTCTCAGCTCAGTCCCCTTTGGGATGATTGCCTCGTGTCCATAACATGGTTGGTGGAACTCTAGCCATCCAGCTACGTGTAAGGCAGGAAGAAGGTAATAACAACTGCAAAGGGGCACATGCCCCTTTAAAAACTTTTCCTGGTGGCCGGGGGCGGTGGCTCATAACTGTAATCCCAGCACTTTGGGCGTCCGATGCAGGTGGATCATTTGAGGTCAGGAATTCAAGACCAGCCTGGCCAATATGGTGAAACCCCATCTTTACTAAAAATACAAAAATTAGCTGGGCATGGTGGTGCGTGCCTATAATCCCAGCTATCGGGAGGCTGAGGCAGGAGAATCGCTTGAGCCTGGGACGCGGAGGTTGTGGTGAGCCAGGATCGTGCCACTGCACTCCACTCTGGTCGAAAGAGTGAGACCCTGTCTCAAAAAAAAAAAAAAAAATCCTGGTAATTGACCCAGTGAATTTTGTTTATGTTCTAATAGGCAGAGCTTACCATATAATCACCTCCCAGCTGCAAGGGAAGCTAGGACAGTGTTTTAAGTTGGGTATATTAAATGGAGATTTCTGAAAACCAGCCATAAATGACCCTACGTCTTTAGTCCTGATGGTTTTATATCATATAATTTTCTTCAGTCAACTCTATTTCCCCCCAGCTCACTGTTACTCAGCCTAGGTTCTCACTAAGTCTCACCTGGCCCTTCTCACTGGTCCCTCTGACTACTGCATCACCTCTCTCGAATCTGCTTTCCACACAACTTCCCAAGTGAATCATCTCAAAAAGTCAAGTCTAGCTACTTTACCCCTGAGACAGATTGAATTATTGCTGATAATTTTTCACAACCTCCCTACAAAATTAATTAACATCGGCCAGGTGTGGTGGCTCACGCCTGTAATCCCAGCTCTTTGGGAGGCCAAGGCGGGTGGATCACGAGATCAGGAGATCTAGACCACCCTGGATAACACGGTGAAACCCCGTCTCTACTAAAAATACAAAATATTAGCCGGGCGTGGTGTCGGGTACCTGTAGTCCCAGCTACTCGGGAGGCTGAGGTGGGAGAATGGCGTGAACCCAGGAGGCGGAGCTTGCAGTGAGCCAAGATAGCACCACTGCACTCCAGCCTGACGGCATAGCGAGACTCTGTCTCAAAAAAAAAAAAAAAAAAAAATTAACATCACCTTCCACCATGTGATGTTGTAGCACCTCCCCTACAGGGGGCAGTTTTTCTCCCCTCCCTACTGGTATTGAAAATCATATTGCAAGCATATGACTTGCTGTACTAACGCATGTGTGTGCACCTGACAGTGTACCCCTTCTCTGAAGAGGTCTCAAAAGGCGTCTGTCTGCCCACTCACCCGTCTGTTCTTTCCACGCTTCACCAGGAGAAGAGCTAACCTTGGGTAGCTGCTGTTCCTTCAGTCTGAGCCACACACTCAGCCACCCCAGCCAACCTGAAGATCTGCAGCATGAAGCAGAGCTATGCTCACAGACTCACAGATCTGTGTGTGAGAAAACAAGACTGTTGTTTAAGCTACCGACTTTTGGGGAGATTTATTGTGCAGCATTACTAATGCAATAGTTAGCAGATACAACTCCCCTGCCTAAATCCCTTTGGGGGCATCTCAGCACCTTTCTGTGGAGTGAAGCTACATTTCTTAGCAGAGCATGTAAGATGGACACAGTCTGATGCTTGCTTACTTTTTCAGCTCCAACTCCTACCATACTTTGCCTGCCTCATATTTCATACTTTTTCAGTTCTAAACTGCCTTGTAGCTCCCTGTCAGCATTCAATATACCTCCGTACCACACTGATGCTCTTTTCTCATGCATGAAATGCCTTCCTTGCCTTATCCTTCTGAATAACTTCCAACCAGATCCTTCAAAAGGCATCATCTTATCCAGAGTGCTGGCATCAGCCCACATTTCCCTGGCAGAGGCAAAGGTGAGTGTCCCTCTCCACTCCCATAACCTCCAGTGCATACCCCTAGTGCAGTACCTAAAATAGAATGCTGAATTACAGGAAAATATAAGCAGAGGCTCAAACTAATCCAGTCCAATCCCAACAAAAGGGTTTAGCTCCGGCCAGGATTTAATATTATCTCTTTTCTGCTTTCTCCAAACCATACAAATTTTTGTCATGCTCTACAAAACTCCTTGGTGCCATTAGGGATGTTACTGAGGACATTGCTCACGACATCCCATAATACCTTATAAAAACTGCACCTAATCCCTGTGGTTCTTTGGGGGAACTACATAATTTTCATCCTATGGACACTGAATTTTGCAATTGGTTATGTATTCCTCTTTGTGCTGGCTTCTAGGAAGTTAGATCTAAATTTGTGGCCCACCTTCAATAATTTAGAGAAAACTTAAGGAATGTAATCTGTTGACTAACCTGACTTCCATCATTTTCTCACTTTCAAATTTCTCCCTCACAGTTTCTTCTTTTTAACCTTATGTGTATGTATCTTTGCAAGTTACTGCTGGCATTTTTAGTAAGGCAGAAAAGAGAGGAAGGGAGGGAGGGAGGGGGAGAAGGGTCTCATCTTCAATTATAGACCCTATAATGTTTTCTGTCTCTCATTTACTTTGGTATCTGCTTTGGCTTGAACATGTGTCCCTCCGATATTCATATGTTGAAACTTAAACCTTAAGGTAATGGCATTAAGAGGGGGCCTTGGGAAGGTGATTAGGCTGTGAGGGCTCTGCCCTCATGGATGGGATTAGTGCCCTTATAAAAGGACTTGAGAGAGCAAGTTTGTCCCTTTTTGCCCACCCTTCTCTTCTACCGGATGGGGAAACAGCATTTGTCCCTTTTTGCCCCTTTTGCCTTTCCACCATGTGAGGACACAGTAAGAGGGGCCGTCTGTGAAGCAGAGAGTGAGCCTTCACCAGACACTGAATCTACTGGACTCTTGATCTTGGACTTCCCAGCCCCCAGAAATATGAGACATACATTTCTAATATTTATAAAGTACCTAGTCTAAGGTATTTTCTTATAGCAGAATAAATGGACTAAGACAATGTCTTTTTCCTCTTTTAGCTCCTAAGCTCCCGAAGACAAGGTCTATTTCCTAACACAGAGTTAGTATTCAATAAATACAGGAGGGAAGGAGGAAAGAAAGAAGGGGGAAGGGAGGAGAGAACAAGTTTTCCAAGGGCCTTCATTCTGATTTTTTAAAATATCTTTCTTGTTTGGGTTGGGTCACCACCCAAACACATACACAAGATCTCTTCCTTTTGAAAATATCATTACTGTTTAGTATATTTGGAAGTCAGAAGAGTGATACGTAGTTCGGAAATTTTTTTAATATTTCAAAATTGTTTAAGTGTTGGATAATATGATGCTTTAACAAGTTAGCCTCAAATCTCTGCAAAAAATGCACTTCAGGCAATGAGCTTATTTTATGTTGATGCCAGACATAAATATCATATATACAAACAAGGCTGAGGTTTATCTCATTTTTCTGTGTTGCAACAAATAACACAGGCAGCCACTAAAACGCCCTGTCTTGCTCCATCAAGAACCAATTTCCCAGGCAATACCTCAAAACTCTACAGAAGTACATTCAATTTTAGCTTTGTTACCTAATTCTGAGTTGAGATGCAGAGAACACCGTCATTGTGTGGAACTAGTAAGTAGCTGGGAATTCCCCTAAAATAACAGAAACCTCTGGTGGTAATGTTATTGATGGATGGCCCCAGAGATACTTCCACTGTGAGCTACTCCCAAAGTGCTTTGCCTTATCTAGCCCTACAAACTGAACATTTAGGAGCTTGCTGCCTTTTATCCTATTTTGTTCCCCCAGGTACTATGGCAGAAATGGCCAGGGAAGGGTTTATCTAACCACCAGGAGTACGCAAAGAAGAGAGGTCCAGCCAGCCTGCCTCTCAGATTGTTAAGATGCCAGGTGTCTTTTGGCTCATGGAAACAGCTGTTCTGCCCCCTCCCGAACCCTAGACTCACAGCTACACTCTATGGGTAAGTTGAAGCATGCATTCCAGAGAGAAAAGCATAAAGCAGAGGGTACTTTAGGAGCCTGTATCTCCTGTTGTTTGTAAAGAAAATTGGCATATCTCTGTGTAATAATCCCTGGACCAGTAATGCTATCTGTATTATTAACTTTCCTCCAGGTCTCTACTGCATGGATTGTCAATCTTGGCTGCATACTGGAATTACCTGGGGAGTTTCAGATGGCCCCTCACTAGATTTAGTTTGTCTGGGGTGCAGTCTGGACACTAGGTATTTCAAAACTGTCCACATGATTCTGATATGCAGCAATTTGAGAATTACTGTTGTTGATAGTATAGAACACCACCCTGTAGAAATATAATACAAGCCACACATGTAATTTTAGATTGTCTAGTAGTTGCATTTAAAAAGTTAAAAAAGTGATAATTTTAATAATATATTTTCTTTAACCTAATATATCTAAAATGTTATTTCAACATGTAATCAACATAAACATTATTGAGAAATTTATACTTTTTTATTAACACTTCAAAATGGATTGTGTAGTTTATACTTACAACACTTTTCAATTCAGACCAGCCACATTTCAAGTGCTCAGTAGCTACATGTGACTAGTGGCTGCCATATTGGACAGCATAGCTACAGACTATGTGGGGGGTGAGCAGCAAAATGAGGGTGGCACCTGTAGTGGACTGAATAATGCCCTCCATCCAAAAGGTATCCACCACCACCTCATCCTTAGAACCTGTGATTGTTCTCATGTATAGCAAAAAAGGACTTAGTAGGTGTGATTGCTTTAGGTATCTTAAAATGGTAAGATTCCCTTAGCTTATCCAGATAGGCTCAAAATTCAATTGCATGTTTTCTTATCCAGGTGGGACCAAAATGCAATTGCATATTTCTTTATAAGCAGGAGATTTCACAAAGAAAAGGAGAAGGCAAGAACCACAGAGGCAAAGATTGGAGAGATGTGGCTGCAAGTCAGGCAGTATCTAGCTGCCACTAGATACTGGAAGAGTCAAGGAATGGACTCTCCCTGGAGACTCCAGAGAAAACCTAGCCCTTCTGACTCCTTGATTGTTGCCTTATAAGACTCATTTCAGACTTTAGGCTGCGTATGAGAGAATAAATTTCTGTTGTTTTAAGCCACAAAGTTTGTGACCACAATAATAATATAGCACCATTTATAACAAAGCACTATGTTTTTATCTGTATTAGTATAGTTATCACCGTCTTTCTTACTTTATACCTGGTGGATACCTATTGATTTTCTTTTTAGAGGGCAGGGATCTGTCTTATTCATGAGTGAATACTCTGCTGCACCTGGGAACTAAAGTGTTTGCCATAGGAGTGCAGTAAAGTTTGTTCAAATGGATCTGAAGCTCAGTCTCTGTGGTGCCCATATTCTTGTGTGCATACAGGGAAAGGACAAAGGGAAGGCTGCTTCCTGAAGAGATCTCCATATGGAAGAGCTGCAGATCACAAACAACCCACACAGCCATTGTAACGCCTGCTTGCCTGGTCACTTGTGTTTCTGAGAAGCCATAACTCCAAGAATAGCGAAGGGAAGAAAATGCCAAAAAGCAGGGGCTGCCTAACAGGTCTGACTTGCAAGGCAAACTCCTGGCAGGCCTGGCCAGCTTCTGCTTGTCCCAGTGCAATCCCACCCCCATAGGATCTGGAATTTTTCAGTCCCTTTGCTAAGATTCCTGAAATAGACTTAATGAAGAGCCTCAGAAGTGAAAATTCCTCTTCACACATTTGCTCAAGAAGATTGCTTTTCTCCTAACACAGAAATCAGCTGCCTTGAGGATGTGCAAGTTTGATTAGGGAGTCTGCTCTTGCCTATTTCTCAAACGGTTCAGGCCCTGACAGAATCAGTGTCACCCCTAAGGTATTTGCTTCAAATGCCCCCCATATAATCAAAACTTATAAATGATAAACCAAAAGTTGAGGTACACTCATTGCCTTTCAGAATGAAACCTTCCAAGGGGCCATGATCATATTGTGACTGGACAAGAACTATCATGGATGAGGCACATCATCTTTTGGAACCATCTATGGAACAGATATTATTATTCCATTTTGCGGAAGAGGAATCTGAGGCTCAGGCCAGACAGATGCAGCTAACGTTGAGTGGCATCCTGATGATCACCTTCATCACAAAAGGAAGGAGTGCTCTGAGGACTGTAGGTGGCTCTCAGAACCCTGACCTCCACGGCAGCCATCAAGGAGTGGCAAAGGGGGTCCACAGTGGCATATGCAGTGAGATCCAAGTTTTAGGCATTCGGAGTAGAGCAAGCCACGAATGAGAACAGGTTCTGAAAGTGACAGAAAAGGAGTCACTTTTTTGGTTCCATATGAACTTTAAGGTAGTTTTTTCCCAGTTCTGTGAAGAAAGTCATTGGTAGCTTGATGGGGATGGCATTGAATCTATAAATTACCTTGGACAGTATGGCCATTTTCATGATATTGATTCTTCCTACCCATGAGCATGGAATGTTCTTCCATTTGTTTGTATCCTCTTTTATTTCCTTGAGCAGTGGTTTGTAGTTATCCTTGAAGAGGTTCTTCACATCCCTTGTAAGTTGGATTCCTAGGTATTTTATTCTCTTTGAAGCAATTGTGAATGGGAGTTCACTCATGATTTGGCTCTCTGTTTGTCTGTTGTTAGTGTATAAGAATGCTTGTGATTTTTGTACATTGATTTTGTATCCTGAGACTTTGCTGAAGTTGCTTATCAGCTTAAGGAGATTTTGGGCTGAGACAATGGGGTTTTCTAGATATACAATCATGTCATCTGCAAACAGGGACAATTTGACTTCCTCTTTTCCTAATTGAATACCCTTTATTTCCTTGTCCTGCCTAATTGCCCTGGCCAGAACTTCCAACACTATGTTGAATAGGAGTGGTGAAAGAGGACATCCCTGTCTTGTGCCAGTTTTCACAGGGAATGCTTCCAGTTTTTGCCCATTCAGTATGATATTGGCTGTGGGTTTGTCATAGATAGCTCTTATTATTTTGACATACGTCCCATCAATACCTAATTTATTGAGAGTTTTTAGCATGAAGCGTTGTTGAATTTTGTCAAAGGCCTTTTCTGCATCTATTGAGATAATCATGTGGTTTTTGTCTTTGGTTCTGTTTATATGCTGGATTACATTTATTGATTTGTGTATATTGAACCAGCCTTGCATCCCAGGGATGAAGCCCACTTGATCATGGTGGATAAGCTTTTTGATGTGCTGCTGGATTCGGTTTGCCAGTATTTTATTGAGGATTTTTGCATCAATGTTCATCAGGGATATTGGTCGAAAATTCTCTTTTTTGGTTGTATCTCTGCCCGGCTTTGGTATCAGGATGATGCTGGCCTCATAAAATGAGTTAGGGAGTATTCCCTCTTTTTCTATTGATTGGAATATCACCAAGTCCATCCTAAGCCAAAAGAACAAAGCTGGAGGCATCACACTACCTGACTTCAAACTATACTACAAGGCTACAGTAACCAAAACAGCATGGTACTGGTACCAAAACAGAGATATAGATCAATGGAACAGAACAGAGCCCTCAGAAATAACACCGCATATCTACAATTATCTGATCTTTGACAAACCTGACAAAAACAAGCAATGGGGAAAGGATTCCCTATTTAATAAATGGTGCTGGGAAAACTGGCTAGCCATATGTAGAAAGCTGAAACTGGATCCCTTCCTTACACCTTATACAAAAATCAATTCAAGATGGATTAAAGACTTAAACGTTAGACCTAAAACCATAAAAACCCTAGAAGAAAACCTAGGCATTACCATTCAGGACATAGGCATAGGCAAGGACTTCATGTCTAAAACACCAAAAGCAGTGGCAACAAAAGCCAAAATTGACAAACGGGATCTAATTAAGCTAAAGAGCCTCTGCACAGCAAAAGAAACTACCATCAGAGTGAACAGGCAACCTACAAAATGGGAGAAAATTTTCGCAACCTACTCATCTGACAAAGGGCTAATATCCAGAATCTACAATGAACTCAAACAAATTTACAAGAAAAAAACAAACAACCCCACCAAAAAGTGGGTGAAGGACATGAACAGACACTTTTCAAAAGAAGACATTTATGCAGCCAAAAAACACATGAAAAAATGCTCACCATCACTGGCCATCAGAGAAATGCAAATCAAAACCACAATGAGATATCATCTCACACCAGTTAGAATGGCAATCATTAAAAAGTCAGGAAACAACAGGTGCTGGAGAGGATGTGGAGAAATAGGAACACTTTTACACTGTTGGTGGGACTGTAAACTAGTTCAACCATTGTGGAAGTCAGTGTGGCGATTCCTCAGGGATCTAGAACTAGAAATACCATTTGACCCAGCCATCCCATTACTGGGTATATACCCAAAGGACTATAAATCATGCTGCTATAAAGACACATGCACACGCATGTTTATTGTGGCATTATTCACAATAGCAAAGACTTGGAACCAACCCAAATGTCCAACAATGATAGACTGGATTAAGAAAATGTGGCACATATACACCATGGAATACTATGCAGCCATAAAAAATGATGAGTTCATGTCCTTTGTAGGGACATGGATGAAATTGGAAATCATCATTCTCAGTAAACTATCGCAAGAACAAAAAACCAAACACCGCATATTCTCACTCATAGGTGGGAATTGAGCAATGAGAACACATGGACACAGGAAGGGGACATCACACTCTGGGGAGTGTTGTGGGGTGGGGGGAGGGGGGAGGGATAGCACTGGGAGATACACCTAATGCTAGATGACGAGTTAATGGGTGCAGCACACCAGCATGGCACATGTATACATATGTAACTAACCTGCACATTGTGCACATGTACCCTAAAACTTAAAGTATAATAATAATAATAATAATAAAAAAGAAAAGGAGTCACTGTGTTTTTGTCACCTGGGAAAGGAGTCCTAATTGTAGGATAATTTTCATAGAAGGGAGTCATAACTCGATTCCGGTTTCTCTGGTCACATCTACGGAAGTTCCCAAAACATGCTCTTTCCCACTCGGGGATGTTCACATACAATGCTCTGTGCCTAAGCACCACTGTGCTGCTGGATAATTCCTACATCTTCACGTCTCAGCCTTAAGGGCATTGCCCCAGATATACTATCACTGACTGACTTATCTAAAGTACCTACTTTATCTTGAGTTCATCACCTTGTCTATTTCCTTCATACCGCTTATCATTTGCAGTTATTTTCTATTTTGTTTGTTCATATTCTACTTTCAGCTGTGGAAGGCATGAGGGGAAGAGCTTTGTTTGTGTTATGCCTGACCTGTACTAGGTCCTCAGTAACTCTTTTATTGAATAGATGGATTGCAGGTTTTGAGTATTTGCTGATCAGCACATAGTGAGCCCCTGGCCATGCTGTGCTTTATCCCAGTATGAATTCCCCTCGGGAACTCTGATTCCATTGGTCAGGAGTGAGACCCTGGAAAAGTGTAACTGAAGGCTGCTTCTGATGCAGTCAGTAGAACATGTGGGACCCCTGTACCTGCCTCCCTCACACAATCTTTATTTGTTCTCTTTGCAGTGGGAGTCATGGCAGCAACAATAATTCACACATTCATTTCTGGGTCTTTGGGGTCCCTGGGAGTATCCTTTGAATCCTGTTTGCATTTATGCCATTTGTCTACCCATCAGAATCCATGAATGAGATTTTAGGGCTACTGTTACCTCCTATACACTGTGAGTAAACACTCCTGAGGAAGAAGGAGAGACAAAGGCCACCACAATCTTTGAGGGGAATAGTCAGGGTATCCAAGGACTTTAGCTTTCTAGAAGACTCATTCTAAGTTCCTTAGAACCTAAAAGCAACACACATCCTCTAGAAGTTTACAAAAGAACTCATTCTCTCAGAAGCTAGACCACCTATGGTTGGCTAAATGAACTAGACACAGGCTTGAGTGAGAGGAAACCAACTTTAAAACCCATTTTATCAATAGTTGGAGAATGAAGCTAGAAATGGCAGCAGTAGGGAGCAGGGACTCTAGCCACATGGAGGTAGCATCAAATAAAAGAGCAGGAAAGAAATGGAGTACCTGAGAAGCGATCTTTACTCTGGGTCCTAACTATGCAGCCTGTGTTCCGTGGACGAGCAGCATCAGCTTCACTAAAGACATGTTATAAATTCAGAGTCTCTGTCCCCACGCTGGAGCTACTGAATGGAATCTGCCTTTTGACAAGATCTCCAGATGATTTGTAAGCACATCAGAGTTTAGCAAGCACTGACCTAAGCCAGTGCCATAGAGACATGGGGAACTAGAGAAAAATCCCTTAAAATTTAAGAAATTTCTTAGCTTGGGGAAAATTCTGCTAGGAACTTATCCAAACCTCAGTCACATGCAAGGGTAATTTGACTGGGGAAACAAACCACTCTCTCATTCCTGAGCATCTCAGCTCCTCAAGGAGAGTATAAGCTCACCGGAGTGAGTGAGTTTTCCTTAAACTTCTTGTTCTCACAGACTGCAGCCCTGTGAATTAGAACTGGAAAGTTGGTAAGCAGTGACAGGTCAAGTAAAGATAAACCTGAAGAGTTGACTGAAATTTGCTTCTGCCATTTTTTCTTAAACATTCTTTGCCTAGAACTTCAGCCAACCCTCCTAAGATGGTGTGTGAATATGAAGATCACAAAACTTTAGAAAATGGTTTAGGATCCTGTTATTAATGCTCCTAAGTATAATGTACCATTCCTCAGTGGTGGTATTTCCAGAGTTGGAAGTGTGGCTATGTTACTTTAATCTGCGTTAAGTGCCCCACAGGGAAGGTTACGTAAAAGTGCAAGAAATTGTGAAACCAATTTGGATAGCAGCTGAAAGCACAACAAAAACAAAACATTGCTTCTCTGGTTCATTGACTTTCATCTTCTCCCTAGGGCAAAAAGAATTCTCAAGCGCCTCATAACATCAGTGCTGCTCCTTCACCACCCGTTGTGGATGAATACCAATGATAATTCTTAGTGAGGGGCCATATGTCATGTACTGAAAACGTTACCTCACATTTAGCCTCTATTACAGGAATCTGTGTGATATCACAATGCCCTGAGTTTGTGCAGTTTGAGTGGTTTTTAAGAAAATTGATGAACAAAATGGTCCATATGTGTTCATAGTTATTAGTGTGCCTGTGTTTATCCAGAGATGTGTGTGTGTACATTTTTAATGTGTGGATTCTTGCCATTATAGCAATTAGAAGAGAAAAGGTCTTGGACAGGTAGAGTAAAACACCCGCTCAAAATATGTAATTACATGCCCATTTTCTCAGGAAAAAAAATAAAATCTATACCAGCCAGGACCTCCAGTGATTCTTCTGTAAGGAAGTATGCTCCAGAGCTTACCATTCTATTTTTTCCAAGAAGTGAGATGATTAGAAAGAGGGCTCTCATGTTTTGACGGCTCTGTCAGGCCTGTAGGTCAGGGCGGAAAGAGCCCAGGAACCTGGACTACCACTCAACTAGAGAAGAGATCTGACCTCTAGTCACCACCTGGCCAGGGGGCATCCAAGTGTCACCTCTGCAGCTCTGTTTTCACACCTTTAAAATGAGAAGGATAACAAGTGTCAGTCATAACTCTTTGTGTCAAAACAGTAAAAGGAACATGTTTTGAAAAGTACAAATTGCCACACCGAAATGCAACATGTGAGTATTTCTTTACAGATGTCACTCATCCCTATTTTGCTATGTCTTTCTCCAACCAGCAAAGGTATTCCAAGGATTCACCACTAATCTAACAGAGGGACTAAAGCCTTTGATTGCTTCTGTCGCTCTGAAATTCCAAGAATCACCCATCTTACATGACTCATGCTAAGACCTAGAACTTTAAACCACAGCCGAACCCTAGACTACATGGGAGTAAAGAGGGACATAATATTTTAAGGTGTAGTCACTGGCCCCCTTCCCCATCTCTGCACACCAATTACTGCTTCAGGCTTAGGTAGTCCATAGGGAACCTTTGTGTGAATTGGCAAAAAGCACCTCTTCCTCAGGTGGTGTCTCAAGTACTGTATTAGTCTGAGTTCTCCTGAGAAACACAAGCAATGGGATACACACACAGAGAGACAGGGAGAGACAGACAGACAGAGAGAGAGACAGAGAGAGATTTATTATGAAGAATTGACTCATGCAGTTACAGAGGCTGAGAAGACCCAAAATTTGCAGTCAGCAAGCTGAAGATCGAGAAAGTCAAAGGTATAATTCTAGTCTGAATCTTAAGACCTGAGAACCAGAAGAGTCAACGGTGTAAGTTCCAGCCCAAATACAAAAGCAGAAGACCAGTATCCCAATTTGGGGACACTCAGACCACAAATTCTCCCTTCCACTGCCTTTTTTTGTTCTAGTCAGGTCTTCAATGGATAGGATGAGGCATACCCACTTTAAGGAGGACAACCTGCTTTACTCAACCTTGAAATGTTAATCTTATTCAGAAACACCCTTTTTTATTTAACCAAGTATCTGGGCATTTACTGTAGCCCAGTCAAGTTAACATAAAAAATTAACCATCATAAGTAGGATGCTTGGAGAGCCACAGCTGTACTCCAGCCCCAACCTGTCCCTTGGCTAGATACCCTAGTGTAGAGCTCAATCTACACAAGCACACACAGTGGCCCTGCCTACTATCTACATTGGAAACTGCTCTAAAAAATGGCCTCCTCTCCTCTCTCCCAGCCTTTGTGGCTCATTCAATTCATTATATCCTCCCTAAATCCCATCGGAGATTCTGGACTGATCATGGTTTTGGGCTCCATATACTACCTAGAGCTACTCCCAACAAATGTTATTTCACTTTACAAATTGTTAGAATGCAGCTACCTTTTAATTTTTTACCTGTGGCTCCCCAGACAAGCATCTGATTTAAGGGACTTACATAGGTAAGGGGTATAATACTGAACCCTTCCTTTCAGTGGAAGCAGCACATATTTCCCTGGACCAGTGGGTCTGTGCAACACATTCAGTTTCCTCTGAGTGAAGAATAAGAGAACGAAGAAAATCAAAAAGGAAAAAACATCAGGGAAAAGACAAAATAAAATGAGTCCACAGTGCAAGGAATGATGTAAATGAACAGGGAGATAAACAGAAATAACAACTGAGAAAGCATTTAGTGAGCACTGCTTCCCAGAAATGACACTTGTGCAGAAGTGTAGCACACAGAATGAATCACTGTTTACCAGCCACAGACAGGGTGCTCTCAAGTTCAGCAATTAGGAGTGGAATGCGCAGTGCCTGGAGATGAGTGGTATAGGTCTGGCATCAGAGAGCAAACAAGACCTACTTTTATTATCACTCCAAAAAAAGGAGAGGTGGAAGGGAGGCATATAAAATTTCCCATATAAGTTTCACATGTACAATGTACAAATGTTTCACGAAATGAAGGGTTGGAATAAATGGCAGTTCCAAGTGGGTAAAAAAAAAAGGCTCAGATGTTGTTGGCTAAGAAATACAAACAATGCAGCCAGGGAAATCTGGGGGAATAGAGCTCTTGCCATGGTAACATGTTTAGAAACCAAACATGACTCTAATGTGGAAATGCAATTTTTATGCTAGAAAAATAAGCATAAATTGCTTTGCCTTAAAATACATACTTTCAGTGCTCATCCCTGAGATCTGAAAACCTGGAAATGAATCACAGACCCAAGGAGGCAGAAGCTTTGAGATTGGTGGTGTTAGGTGATTTTTCACACAAAGAGTTTGGAATTCTGGCCTTTTGACTGCCAGATGGATAGGATAGCTGTCATAGGCAGATGTTTTTCCTGCCAAATCAACAGCTAGCCTTGTAGAAACTCAGCTTAACCATAGTGATTGGGAAACCCAATTTCAGGCCAGCTTGTCCAACAGAAATTGTGGACAAAGCTCCCAAACACCTTAGTATTTCAGTCTCCACTTAGAGAACCTGGACCTCAGTATCCAAATAAGGCATGCCGTTACCCCTGTTATTCTCACCAGTCCAGTTTCCTTGCCAAAGTAACCTAAGCATAATCCCCCTTCATCAACATACTTGCATGTCCAGTGTGCATCTCAAACCTAACCCACCCAAACCTGGGCTCCTAAATAGTCTCCCAAACTTGTTCTCCCTACTGTCTTGTCCATCTCAGCAAATAGCAACTACATTTTCCCAGTTGCACAGACCAAACACCATGAAGTCACCCTTGACTCTTTCTCTTATACCCCTCATCATGTCATCTGTAATTCTATTGTCTCTACCTTCAAAGTACATCCAGGTTTTGATTGCTTCATACCCCTTCTACTGGTATCACCCTGATGCAAGCCACCACAGTCTTTTTCCTGGATGATTACTGTAGCCTCCTAGCTACACACCCTGCATCTTTGCCACCCACCAGCCTATTCTCAGCATAGGTAAAATATAAATCAGATTATATCATTCCAATATGCAAAACTCGATAGTGTCCTCCATCTCACTCAAAATGAAAGCTAAAGTTCACATAATGACCTAAAAGGCTTTGCACTATCTCTTCTCCCATACCTCCAGTACCTGCCTGTCCTTATCTCTGTTACCTTCTCCCTTGTTCACTCTGCCTCAAACACATTGACTTTGTCCCTTTTGACATAACAAGCTTAGTCCTTCCTCAGGTCTCACTGCTGGGACAGTACTTACTGCTTCCTCTGCTTAGAATACTCCTGCCCCAGGTATCTTACCTCGTCACTTCCTTCAGCTTTTAAGGTCTCAACTTAAACATTTCCCTAAAGGCTTCCCTGGTCATGTTTCTTGAAATGTAATACCCTCGCCAGTACTTCCCAACCTTGCCCCAATACAGATTGGCAGAGAGAGGGAGAGGGGTGGTTCCTCCCAATAGTCCCAGGGTGGAAGTCTATCTAAGGTTCTGCCATCCTATAGCTGCACAATCTGGAACATGTGACTTCCCAGCCAGAAAAAAGGGAAACAGAGCTTGGAGGTGGCATACTAGCTCTTAAATGCCTGGACATGAAAATGACACATATCAGCTCCATGCCTATTTCATTGGCTTCAACTAGTCAGTTTCATGTAATTGCAAAAGAGCTAGCAAGTGTAGTATTCCAAATGTTCAGGAAGGAAAGGAGAAGCAAACATGAATGAATTCTGTACCATGAACAGCTGTTTCTTCTGAAATACTTCACTTCTTGGGTAACTGGAATCTCTATCATCCCATCTTACTGCTCTAAAACATGCTTGTCCAACCCATGGCCCATGGGCCACATGCAGCTGAGGATGGCTTTGAATGTGGCCCAAAACAATTTGTGATTACATTTATTTATGTATTTATTTTATTAAAGTTCTAGGGTATATGTGCAAAACATGCAGGTTTGATGCATAGGTATACATGTTGCCATGCTGGTTTGCTGCACCCGTCAACTCATCATTTACATTAGGCATTTCTCCTAATGCTATCCCTCCCCTAGCTCCCTACCCACTGACAGGTCCCGGTGTGTCATGTTCCCTGCCCTGTGTCCAAGTGATCTCATTGTTCAATTCCCACCTATGAGTAAGAACATGCGGTGTTTGGTTTTCTGCCCTTGTGATACAACGTATGTAAGATAAAAACACAAAACACTATTGTTGAAGGAAGCATGCATATTCAAATGTATATGTTAAACACACTAGAATAGCTGCTTATGGGAAGAGAAGGGAAAAGGAGTGAGAATCAGAAAGAAAGAAGGGGAAATAATAACGTACAAGAGAATCCTCACACAGAATATAGTGCTAATGTGGTATCTACTGAGGAATATTACTAACTTAGCAAATACACAATTTTACATTCTAAATTCTTTTTGTTTTTTGAGGAAGCACTCCAAAAACATTTGGAATGGATTAATGAAAAGACATCAATTTAAAATTAGCCTTTAGATCAGGTGTGGTAACTCACGCCTGTAATCCCAACACTTTGGGAGGCCGAGGCAGGAGGATCATCTGCGGTCAGGAGTTCGAGACCAGCCTGGCCAACATGGTGAGACCCCATCTCTACTAAAATACAAAAAAAAAAAAAAAATAGCCAGGCATGGTGGCAGGCATCTGTAATCCCACCTACTTGGGAGGCTGAGACAGGAGAATCGCTTGAACCCGGGAGGCGGAGGTTGCAGTGAACCAAGATCACACCACTGCACTCCATCCTGGGTGACAGAACAAGATTCCATCTCAAAGATAAAATAAAATAAAACTAGCCTTTAGAACAATAAGACAGTTTGGGAAGAATTCCTTCTATATACTATGTTCTGATATCTAAGCCCAAAGCTAAGTCTATAAATAGTCAACAATAAAATATAATATTTTTTCTATCAAATTGACAAGCATAAAAAATTGTAACACTCTTGTGTTAGCAAAGGTATGAAGAAAGAAGCACATTCAAATGGATAGGAATATAAAATAGCACAACTTTCTGAAAAGCAATGTTTATTAAGATTCACAAAAATATTATAGCCTTTAACCCAGGACTTCCAGTCTTAGGAATTTATCATAAGAAAAATAATTTATTTACAATCACATATATCAAATGGTTTGAGGCAATATTATTTGACATAACAGAAAATTGCAAGTAACATAAATGTTCATAACATTTGCAACATAATTGCAAGTAACATAAATCTAATAAGGATTTGTTAAAGTATGGTATATCTACAGGATAGAATTTATTTCATTAATACATAATAGTAAAATTAAATGTTTATGATATATTACTACACAAATATAGCATTTTAAAATATGCCATATAATCCTAATTTTGATGACAGGAAAGATATAACTAAAATGTTAATAATAGTTATCTCTAAGTTAATATATGCTATAAATATAAGTGATCTATTGTTGATATGTACTTAATTAGAAAAATATTATAACAAAAACATTAGTAAATATTACAGATTATAATTCTATCTATTATATTATGTCTCCAAGGCATGAAAAAAATTATTTTCATGCTAATTTTTTTAATTTCTTTATTTTTTGGAGACAGGGTCTCACTCTGTCACCTAGGCTGGAGTGCAGTGGCACAATCCTAGCTCACTGAACCTCAGCCTCCTGGGCTCAAGCTGAGCTCCCAGCTGAGCCTCCTGATTAGCAAGTACTAAGGTACATGCCACCATACCTGGCTAACTTATCTTTCTTTTTACTAGACATGGGGTCTTGCCCAGGTGGATTCACAGCCGAATTCTACCAGAGGTACAAGGAGGAGCTGGTACCATTCCTTCTGAAACTATTCCAATCAATAGAAAAACAGGGAACCCTCCCTAACTCATTTTATGAGGCCAGCATCATCCTGATACCAAAGCCTGGCAGAGACACAACCAAAAAAGAGAATTTTAGACCAATATCCCTGATGAACATCGATGCAAAAATCCTCAATAAAATACTGACAAACCGAATCCAGCAGCACATCAAAAAGCTTATCCACCATGATCAAGTGGGCTTCATCCATGGGATGCAAGGCTGGTTCAACATACGCAAATCAATAAATGTAATCCAGCATATAAACAGAACCAACGACAAAAAACACATGATTATCTCCATAGATGCAGAAAAGGCCTTTGACAAAATTCAACAACCCTTCATGCTAAAAACTCTCAATAAATTAGGTATTGATGGGATGCATCTCAAAATAATAAGAGCTATCTATGACAAACCCGCAGCCAATATCATACTGAATGGGCAAAAACTGGAAGCATTCCCTTTGAAAACTGGCACAAGACAGGGATGCCCTCTCTCACCACTCCTATTCAACACAGTGTTGAAAGTTCTGGCCAGGGCAATCAGGCAGGAGAAGGAAATAAAGGGTATTCAATTAGGAAAAGAGGAAGTCAAATTGCCCTGTTTGCAGATGACATGATTGTGTATCTTGAAAATCCCATCATCCCAGCCCAAAATCTCCTTAAGCTGATAAGCAACTTCAGCAAAGTCTCAGGATACAAAATCAATGTGCAAAAGTCACGAGCATTCTTATACACCAATAACAGACAGAGAGCCAAATCATGAGTGAATTTCCATTCACAATTGCTTCAAAGAGAATAAAATACCTAGGAATCCAACTTACAAGGGATGTGAAGGACCTCTTCAAGGAGAACTACAAACCACTGCTCAATGAAGTAAAAGAGGATACAAACAAATGGAAGAACATTCCATGCTCATCGGTAGGAAGAATCAATGTCATGAAAATGGCCATACTTCCCAAGGTAATTTATAGATTCAATGCCATCCCCATCAAGCTACCAATGACTTTCTTCACAGAATTGGAAAAAACTACTTTAAAGTTCATATGGAACCAAAAAAAAGCCCGCATTCCCAAGTCAATCCTAAGCCAAAAGAACAAAGATGGGGCATCACGCTACCTGACTTCAAACTAGACTACAAGGCTACAGTAACAAAAACAGCATGGTACTGGTACCAAAACAGAGATATAGACCAATGGAACAGAACAGAGCCCTCAGAAATAATGTCACATATCTACAACTATCTGATCTTTGACAAACCTGACAAAAACAAGCAATGGGGAAAGGATTCCCTATATAATAAATGGTGCTGGGAAAACTGGCTAGCCATATGTAGAAAGCTGAAACTGGATCCCTTCCTTACACCTTATACAAAAATTAATTCAAGATGGATTAAAGACTTACATGTTAGACCTAAAACCATAAAAATCCTAGAAGAAAACCTAGGCAATACCATTCAGGACATAGGCATGGGCAAGGACTTCATGTCTAAAACACCAAAAGCAATGGCAAGAAAAGCCAAAATTGACAAATGGGATTTAATTAAGCTAAAGAGCTTCTGCACAGCAAAAGAAACTACCATCAGAGTGAACAGGCAACCTACAGAATGGGAGAAAATTTTTGCAATCTACTCATCTGACAAAGGGCTAATATCCAGAATCTACAATGAACTCAAACAAATTTACAAGAAAAAAACAACCCCATCAAGAAGTGGGTGAAGGATATGAACAGACACATCTCAAAAGAAGACATTTATGCAGCCAACAGACACATGAAAAAATGCTCATCATCACTGGCCATCAGAGAAATTCAAATCAAAACCACAATGAGATACCATCTCACACCAGTTAGAATGGCAATCCTTAAAAAGTTGGGAAACAACAAGTGCTGGAGAGGATGTGGAGAAATAGGAACACTTTTACATTGTTGGTGGGACTGTAAACTAGTTCAACCATTGTGGAAGTCAGTGTGGCCATTCCTCAGGGATCTAGAACTAGAAATACCATTTGACCAAGCCATCCCATTACTGGGTATATACCCAAAGGATTATAAATCATGCTGCTATAAAGACACATGCACACGTATGTTTATTGCGGAGCTATTCACAATAGCAAAGACTTGGAACCAACCCAAATGTCCAACAATGATAGACTGGATTAAGAAAATGTGGCACATATACACCATGGAATACTATGTATCCATAAAAAATGATGAGTTCATGTCCTTTATAGGGACATGGATGAAGCTGGAAACCATCATTCTCAGCAAACGATCGCAAGGACAAAAAACCAAACACCGGATGTTCTCACTCATAGGTGGGAATTGAACAATGAGAACACATGGACACAGGAAGGGGAACATCACATGCCGGGGCCTGTTGTGGGGTTGGGGAGTGGGGAGGGATAGCATTAGGGGATATACCTGATGTTAAATGACGAGCTAATAGGTGCAGCACACCAACATGGCACATGTATACATATGTAACAAACCTGCATGTTGTGCACATGTACCCTAAAACTTAAAGTATAATAAAAAAAAAAACTCAAAACAAAAAAGAAATGGGGTCTTGCTATGTTGCCCAGGCTGGTCGTGAACTCCTGGCCTCAAGTGATTCTCCCACATCGACCTCCTAAATTATTGGGATTACAGGCATGAGCCGCCACACCAGCCTCCATGCTAAATTCTTGAAATGATATGCTTCCCTGTTTACAGAATTCTCAAATCTTTTTCATGTATACATTTCAGTCATTACCCAGTCACACTTTACTGTGTCACTTTTAGCCACTGCATCATCCCCATGGTAAAAAAGTAAAGAGAAAGTCATTTTGAGGTAGAAATAGGATTAACAAATATTCTCTATAATTTTCTAGACCTTAACCAAGAGTTCACTGAACATCTTATAAAGATTGTTTGTTATTAAAATCAAGGGATTCTATTTTATCATCAACATGGGTGTTCTATAGTTCAGTCATGTCAGAATAAAAGAGAAATGACAAGATATTATGAGCCATTTAAAGCTAAGAGTTATGTTAAAGCCCAGGTTGGCTTTTACTTTAATAATAAAAAATAAATATTATTTAATTTTTTCACTCTGAAATATAAAACCCTGGAGGTCTGGCGAGATAAACAAGAGCTGGATAAGTTTGAAATGCAAGCACTGATATATTTTGTATTTTTCTAGGGGTAATAGCTCTAGTATCTTATCACTTTAATAAATAGATTTTCTTAGGGAAAAATTAAAAAATCTAACACAAAAAAACAAAATCTAGCCTGGCTCCAGATTTAAATTTCACCAAGAGCAAATGTTATCTTAAGAAATCATATTTTTAAATCACTGTAATAGATGTAGCCATGAGAACAAATGTGAAATTTTCAGTCTATTAAACACACATCAATATAATAATGAGGCATGTTGGTAAGTAAAGATGGTATATTCTTTAATCAGTACATGTAAGACAAGAATTCCAAGGCCAAAAGTTTGCAGTTAATATCACTTGGAGGATAGTATTTTTTAATGTATCATTATTATTTTAAGGTGTCACTAAGATTTAGGAAAGTATACTTTTTTGGTTGAGTATGCATCTGACACTCATTATTTTGAACCACTGGCTTGATGTAATTTTTTTTTTGAAACAGAGTCTGGCTCTGTTGCCCAGGCGGGAGTGCAGTGGTGTGATCTAGAGTTACTGTAACCTCTGCCCCCAGAGTCAAGCCATCCTCCCGACTCAACCTCCCAAGTAGCTGGGACCACAGGCACACACCACCATGCCCAGCTAATTTTTGTATCTTTTGTAGAGATGGGGTTTCACCATATTGCCTTAGGCTGGTCTGAAACTCCTGAGCTCAAGCAATCCACCTGTCTCAGCCTCCCAAAGTGCTGGGATTATAAGCATGAGCCACAGCACCTAGCCTGATCTAATTTTGTTTTGTTTTGTTTTGTTTTAAGGAGCAGAGAGTTTAATAGGCAAGAAAGAAAAATTTTAAATTTTGTTTTAAAAATTAAAGAGAGAAGACAGAAGGAAGAGGCTCCCCCATACAGAGATGGGGAGGGGGTGCTCCAAAGCCAAAAGAGGAGGTCCCCAAGTACGGTGGACACCAGCCAGGTATATATGCAGAGGCTGGAGGAGGCGATGTCTGATTTGCACAGGGCTCAGGGGATTGGTTTGACTAGGCATGTCATTCATGTAGCTTGCAAAAAAGCTGGCCCTCCCACCCTAGCCTTTTAATATGCAAATACAATGCACCATGATGTTCTACACACGTGGGGATAGGTGGGGGCCATGCTGCCGGGAACATGTGGGAAAAGGGCAAGAAGGCTGAGGGAATCTCCATGTTTGGGTAGACCCAGTTTCTAATGGTTGGCATTTGCATATCAAAGGTTGCCAGCCTGGCTCTAAGAGCCGGAACTTCACAAGAAAACATTTCTGGAGATGCTTTAAAAAATGAAAACTTCCCAAGGACCCCTTGTCCTCTCTATCTGCCTAAAATAATTTCTTAATAACTCTTACAACAGCCCCCACTGTGAAGATGCCACAGTAACTGCTGTCAGGGGGTTTGGGACGACGACTCTTTCTGGCTACTTCCTGCAAAAAAGGGGCGTTGAATGGGGAACAGCAGCTAGGGCTCCTCCTGGGGTTGATCTAAGGGTCCTTGGAAGAATGGCATGTCCATGTGTGGTTCAGTTTACAGCACCATTTGGCATTTGATTGCTTCTAGGCAAGAAGAAACAATTCGAGTTACAGTATTGAGTATAAAGGGTCCAAATATCAATACAAGACATATAAGTAAGAGAGGGCTTAATAAAGGGGTTAACCAATTCCATAAAGACCAGAATTCATTAAAGAGGGATTGTAGCCACCCGGGGCTGAAGCCAGCATTTTCTCTGAGCCTGTTAATAATTTTTATTTGATTTTTAAGTACCTGTAGATTTTCCTCTACTTTATTAGAGGTGTTAATCCAAAAGCAGCATGTTTCATTTAAAACTTCATCACTAAACCCAATAAAAAGTCCTAGCAGACTCAGTGACAGTAAAACTTTCATGCTTCCTTTTTGTCAGTAAATATTATCCCTACCATAAAGATACTAATTAAGCAAAACATGACAGCAATGGAAACTCTCTGTCCAATATTTAAGTTAGAAGGTGATACCATGGATAACCCTATTGCAAATAGAAGAGTGAGGACAGCAGTTCCCACAAGTGTGGTGTGGTAGGTAATTTCCATCTGAAATTTTACTTGCCAAGATACAGAATTCCCCTCTGAGGGTCTATGAAGTTCCTTGGTTTTATTTTCCCAAACAAAGAAACCTCCGGGTTATGGGCACCTTACTCACTTTCATTACCAGGCAGAATTTGCAAGATAATTGCCCAGAACTAGCATATTGATTCACATTTTTACGTTACCCATCCCTTTTTTTTTTTCCCCAAGCTGCAGAAGATTACCACTTGATTCACAGGAATAAGCAGGGTTAGTCTAAAATGTAGGCAAAAAGCTTAAAAATGATTAATGAGACTAGGATTTAATGATAAATGTATGATAAGCTTTGGAGCAAAATTTTTTTCTCCAGTCCTCATTTTTCTAAAAGCTAATTATGAATAAACTTTAGTCTTATACTTGGCCTGATTATTTGCATGGAGTGCAGCAAGAATGGTTATTTTTACATAGGCCTTTTGGAGTGGCTTTGATGAAACTCTGTTCCACAAGGAATTTCAGATCACTTTTAAAGCCCATAAGATCTAATTTTTAAAAACACATTATGTAGATTACTTGATCTACAATGAACAACGTGTAAGACCAGATGTCTTTAAATGCAGCTGTTATTTTAAAAATTAATGATCAATTCTGATGTCTTGCTTTTTAAAAAATGATAACCCTATCTGGATCTATAACTTCTATGATATCCCCTTATTCAAATAGGAGACTACATGAAGCTATCCTTTGTATCACACATTTCTATGAAATGAATGTTTATGTCCTCCCAAATCCATATGTTGAAGCCCTAACCCCCAACGTGGTTGTATTTGGAGATAGGACCTCTAAGAAATTAAGGTTAAATGAGGTCATAGGGGTGGGATCCAATAGGATTAGTGACATTATAAGAAAAGATACCACAGAACTGACTACTTCCACATGCACAAATAAAAGAGGTCATGTAAACACACAGCAAGAAGGCAGCTGCCAACAAGCCAGAAAAAGAGCCCTCACCAAAAACCAAATCAGCTGGAACCTTGATCTTGGACTTCTAGCCTCCAGAATTATGAGAAAATAAATTTCTGTTGTTTAAGCCATCCAGTCAATGGTATTTTGTTATGGTGGACTGGGCATAGTAATATGTATATATATAATTTCATGTAATTTATATATTTGGTACTTACTTTGTACCAAACAAATCTGATTAAGTTATTAATTGACTGGATTCTACTAAAAATAATCTTCTACTATCTAGACTTTGAATTTATTCTTCAAATCTGTGGCACTCATGCTATCATTCTCCACTCCTAAGCAAATGGTAGACTTTACTAATTGATCATACTGCTCTTTCATACTGAATCTAATAATTCTTATCAGCATTCTAAGCAGCTACTAACAATTCATAGAGATATTTAAGTTGAAATCCATTCCCAATTCCTGTATTAGACTAAAAGCTTATTGAGTGCTTATATACTATCTTTCTTTTTTTATACTCTATAACACTTCACATGATAGAAACTCAGTAAATACTCACTGAATTTAACAAACTGAATTTCGAGTATAAATCTTGTTCAAAGAAAGTTCCCTACACAAGAACTTTGGGTCATGAGTCAACATAAAGTTGTTTTGATTCTATACAAATACATAAGAAACAATGCAACATACTTTTAACTTTGACTGAATTTTCATCAAGTATGAATAATGAGCTGTAGCAATGGTTTGAATAATAATTCATAACAATAATTCATAATTTATAATAATAAATGGTGGATTATGCACCATTATGTATTAACTTCAAAGCTAGATGATTCAAGGACACAAAGAAGTGGAAAGCCCGGCCTCTCGCCTTGAGGAACTCTCTTATCTAGTTGAGATATTAGACTTTCACACACAAAACTTTTACTCACAATACAAGCAGAGTGTGACAAGTGCCACTGCCAAGTGAATGGTTTTGACAATAAAGGCATAAGTGTTTGGAGGAAGGAAAGGAAGATTTTTCCTTAAAGCTAAAAGGAAATTCAGTAGGTGAACCAACTCCTGCAGAGTTCAACTATTCTTCCTCTATTTCTTTCTTTCCTTTTTCTTTTTTTTTTTTTTTTTTTTTTTTTTTTTTCACTTTTGAGACAGAGTCTTGCTCTGTCACCCAGGCTGGAGTGCAGTGGTGCTATCTCAGCTCACTGCAGCCTCCACCTCCTGGATTCAACCAATTTTCCTGCCTCAGCCTCCTGTGTAGCTGGGATTACAGGAGTGCACCACCACACCCAGCTAATTTTTGTATTTTTAGTAGAGATGGGGTTTCGCCTTGTTGGCCAGGCTGGTCTCAAACTCCTGGCCTCAAGTGATCCACCCACCTTGGCCTCCCAAAGTGCTGGGGTTACAGGCGTCAGCCAACTTGCCTGGCTACTTCCTCTATTTTCTTATAACAAGGTCCACTATGATCTTCTGTTGATCTATCAAATTAGCTATGGGGACAATCATTGCATATTCGCCAAAGAGTTGCATCCTCTCTATGCTGACCTGCCCCATTATATGCAAAGCACATAGAGGAGAATGATTTTCTAAATCCTTGAGAAGCCAGGGATGCGACATACTGTCTTCCCTTTGGTGACTCAGTATCTTGCAGTCAAAGTCTTACCATTCTGATTTATAATGTTTTTGTCCCCAATGGCGACACTTTACAACAGAAAAAACATGAGGCTTCAAAACCACCTTTGAGGCAAAAAGTCTAAAAAGAAATAAATTGGTGGGTTTCCTACCCCAAGATATGCACCTCTTAGGGCTACATCTGCCTTGCTCAGTTAAGTCAGGAGAGTAGAACTTAAACTTTTAGCTAAGAAATAATTTGACCTTGATGGACTAGTGGTAGTAAATCATCATTATCATTAAAATTACCAATAAAATAGCCTATAACCTATCACAGGGTAAGCAATAAGCAAATCAGCAGCACATCTCATTAATGGAAATATTTATCAGCATTTGATTACAGACAGATTCTAAATCATTCTGAGATTCTGTCAAAAGTTTTTTTGTAAGTGGAAACTAGATGAAGAAGCCAAAGTCATAAGCTTCCCATGCATGAAGACAAACTATCCTTTAAGAACCTGGAGCTCACACCAAGTGGCAGACCGGAGTTTTCAGAGTAGTTCACTAGAGTAGACACTAGGAATCATGTCTCAGATTATTTTTTCCTTGGCAGTCATTCAGTTTATTTATAGAATAACATAAAATAAACATTCTCAAACCATGCTGGGTGTCATCAAGAGAGATCACTTATTTTCCTCTAAATTAAAACACATGTACACACATACACATACACACAAAGTCTTGTTTTCAAGATGAACAATCACACCCTCCCTCCCATACCCTTTACCTTCAACCCCACTGCCCTACGACACCTTGTTTCCAGAATAGGAGAAACACAGAATCAGGCCGATGAAGGAGTTTATTTTGTGTGAAAACCCACATATTTTTAAGAATGGGGATTAAAATGACTTCGTTTTTTAGAAGAGCTGGAAATTGGTAGAGCTTTCCCTGCTGAAGAAAAAGTAACATTTGTATGACCAAGTTACTCACTTTATCCAAATATTAACAAACACCTGCAACAGCACTAAGGACAGAAATATTGCAAAAGGGGAAAAAGGTGGGTGAAAGCTAGCCCTCTTCTTATTTTGGGGGAGGTAAGTAGGCATGTGACTCCTTTTGGTCCCCTCTTTCCCCTGCCTCTGCCAGCCTCCACGTGGGCACAGAGCCAGAAGCAAGACTGGTAAGAGCACGTGTCCAGTCTCTCCATCACCAACTCTCACTCCCATGCTCACCTGGAGAAATCATTGTGTGAGTGGTTTACTAGCACTTCTCAAATCCCTGAAGGAATCCCCAACAGGTGATGAGTTATTTGGCTGGAGTTCCAGAGATGAGAGAAAGAAAGAAAAAGAGAAAAGAAGAGGAAGAAGAATCAACATTATTGAGCTCCTAGGAAATACCAGATATGTTATATATTCTATTTAGTTCTAGCAATCAAATATGAGATATTGGATTCATCTGAGACCTATGTCTTAAATCCCAGCTCAGCCTCTTACTAGCTATGCAACCTTGTCCTCTCTGGAAGTCAGCAGTCTCATTTGCAAAGTGGGGTTGCTAGTAATAATAATAATCTTCTAGGTTTATAGAGAAGATTACATGATGTCATGAATATAACTACTTAATGTAATAAACAGCCACAATTTATCAAAGATTAGCTCCATTTTATACACAAAGTATATGATTCAGAAGTGTAGGTAACTCTCCCAATAAGGTGATGAAAACAGAACATGGCACATTTCCTCCTGGGATGGTGACTGACTAATTCAAAACATTACGCATGAATCATATGGTTTTTAAATGCATTCTCTATATATTTAAGCATTTGTTATCATTAAACTCCCTTCATAATAATGTGAAACAATGATCCTTGAAGGTGGCTTTCAGATTCAGCATGTCAGTCCCTGCTCCAGGCCATTCTAGTGGTTGGGAATGAGAACTCAGCTAGCTGTGGGCTCCCTGGAGCTCCTTTGCGCGAGACCCGGGCTCTCCTGATTCCTTCCTCCACCTCTCTTTGGGATGGGTTCCCCTGGACTTGCTTCCCCAAACTCTTGGCCTGTATGTCAGCATCCCTGTTCCTCTCTTTCAGGTGGAATCCTTACCCACAGATTTTGTTGTAGGGGCAGTAATTACCCCCAAATATTGTACTTCCTCTCCTACATTTAAACCCCTTAAAGTTACAGGATCATCTGACTAGTTCTAGGCAGTAAAATGTGGCCAGAAGTGTATCACCTTTGCACCAAGGCAATGAAAAACCCATGCTGGATTCTCCAATCTTATTTCTCCTGTTGTGGAGTGTTAAGTGCACATGACCTACATGATACAAATACTAAAATGGTAGCCTTGGTTAGTATGGGTCCCTGAGGGACACTGGAGCAGGTTGTCACCCCATACCACATTGGATACTTTGTATGTATAAGAAGTAAACTTTCATTTTGTTATAACACTGATTTGGGGGCTGTGTGTTAATATAGCAAAATCTAGCATATCCTAATTTATACAAAATTCAATCTCTGCCTATAAATTAGGACTGGGTCTCTTGCTCTTGACCACCTCTCCAAGGTCCTATATTGGCTCTCATTTTGCCTTTATGGGACCAGCATGCTCTGGAGCAAGCACAGAACTTGAAGTTCTAGTCACCTCCCAGGGGTTAATTATCTGAATCTCTCCTTCCCTTTTCTCCCCCAAATGCTACCTCAACCTCAAGGAAGTCAGAGATTGAGCCAGCTGGAGATTAACCAAGTCAACAGAATAAAGTTGGGAATTCTCATCCTGAGCAGGAAGAATCACTGGAGCAAGGGAGGTGAAAGAAGGGAAAGAGTTGACATCCTAGATATCAGGAGTAAGTGTGCTAGTTCTGAAGGGGCTGGTCAGAAGTAGAACCAGGGTCAGAAGTAGAACCAGAGTCAGAAGTAGGGTCCTAGTCAAAGTCTTGGAGCCAAGGGCTTCAAGATGGAAAGATGAGGCCAAAGGGAAAGTAAATCATGATCAAAGGTCCTGGCCAATTTCATCTATCCCTGGTTGATATGCACCATTCACCTCTCCGGGGCCAGTAGGTAGGTATGCAGACATAACTCTGGCTGGTTTCAAGAGCCAGGTGTCTACCAACATGAAAGCACCAGCCAACTCTACTGCTCTAAGAGATCTGTTAAATCCTATCATGTTTGTAAATATACTGGACAACTTGATTTAACCCATGTTCCCTAGTGTGGGGTTCCTCCTTTCTCAAAAATCCAGCAACTCACCCATCTCTCACCAGTAGAAACCAACCCAGCATGCTTAATAACTTGCCTCTTACTCTAAATGCTTACAATCTTATTCACTTGTGTAGCAACTTCCCTAGAATAAGCACAGAGCTAATTGAGGAACTTGATGACTCTTTTCTCAAGCCAAACAAGATGTTCACATTACCTTTAACATTCAACTCTGTGACCAGATTATCTGATTTGGTTATGAAAGCACGAATCACATCTTACACCCCAAATAACATACAAAATCAGTGTGCAGTGGAAAAGTTAATTAAGATTATGAAATATTAATTATCCTTTTTGATCTTTTCATTTAAAAACTCATTCTTCCGTCATTTGTTCCATATTCAAAGCTTAACTATAGATAAGGTATCTTTGAATTTACAAGGCTATACCCAGTGATATTTACAAGATAAATCTTCATATCACGCACTGAATATTCAATGAGAAACAACACATTTCTGGGTAGCTCCTCTATTATTGATACTCTGCATACCTGGAATGATTGTAAATCTTTGCGTATAGACCAAATTAAGTCTGTGATTAAATGTAAGGTTAAAAATCCCTTCTATTTCAAGCCTCAAGAAGAAGAGGAGATACTGTCACCAAAGATCTTTCTAAAATACAAACTAAGCCAAATGCTTTTACCATGAAAGAACACCAAGTTCACCTACAGAGAGACTTCCACATCGCTAAAATCCACCTGACTGTATTTAAGAACAGAGTCCATTGTTCACTTCCTTTACTTTAAAAATGTGTTTTCTCACTCTGTGCACATATATTCTATTCATCTGTAACAACATAATACAGCTTATTTCTGTTGATACTGGGGGAAGCAAGAGTTTATGAAAATGTATGTATTTAAAATCTAAAATTTTAAGATGTCTTTATATCCCAAGCCACCTTTTTTATACAGAGAAGGTGCTACTGTTAGGACCTGTGGAGGAGGTGATTTCCATTTGATTTTTTTGTGATTTTCAGATCACATAGAAGTTGTATTTAATGTCTTTGGTACACTGGATGGCCAATATATGACTAAACAGACAAACCAAGTTGAATACGCTAACCAAAAAGGATGCCCATCCCAGATTTAATAACTGTAGGAGATTCTACTCATAAGAAACTTCCAAGGATGCTGTCCCTAGAATGGGGAGGTGTGAGAACCCCAGAACCAATTAAGGCAGCCGATTTTATAAAAGGATATATGAGTGTCCAGGCCCTTGTGCAGGCACTGTCACTCCCTGGCACACCTCTCTACTCCAGTGACTTCTTGCTGCAAATACCTGTAACTCTGCCTACTGGCTTTCCTCTGCCAGTGAGGGCATACTTGACTGCCCCAGTGCAAGCTGAAAGTGCTAGAGTCTTAACGCTTTCAGGAGAAGCCCTCAGATGATGAGAGATGGGGATTTGGTGAATAGATCATATCTTATTTGCCTCTAAGATAGGGTAATACTAAAGCATGTTCTATACTCCCTCCTAGAGTTCCCCAGGAGGGCTGAGCTTCAGCTGCACAGTAGTAACCCATTTGACTCATTATCCTTTATTGGCTTCCTTCACTTTTCTGTTTTACTTCTCAACTCCCATGCTGATGTTTCCTGGGATCACCTCCCAAATAAACTACTTACAGTTTAATTCTTGCCTAGAGGTCTATTTCTGGAGGAATTCAAACAAAGGCAGATCTTTTGTGTTTTGGGGGGTTCAGATGGAAAACCCATCTGACTCCTATTGATGGATACCTAGACAGAATGGAGGCAGTGATTTTGGGTCCATGAGATGGTGGAGAGTAGAATCAGTTCTGACCCCCACTCTTAGTTGCTGCAGAAGTCTGGGGTGGTAACTGTGTGTGGAAAAAGATGAATAATAAGACTTCCAGCCTCAGAGCCCAGGCGTAAGCAGCAAGGCCAAGATTAACCTAAGAGAGTAAAATCATACTCCCCAAGAGTTGCAGTAGGAAGAGCAGGATTCTATCACCTTCCCTTCACAGCAAGGGACCAGCACTGCACTTCCATGAGCAATATCCTTTGGTGATGGGAAGCATCAGCTATTGTTGTCACTTACCCCACTGATGCTTCAAGAAGGTGCAAAGGTTGGAGCAAATTCTTTTTTGGACTGTGGAAGCTCCTAGGGCTGTGCTATCCAATACAGTAGCCATAGCCAAACATACACACGTGACTATTTAAATCTAAATTAAAAAAAATTAAAAGCCCAGTTCCTAGCCACTAACCACACTTTAAGTGCTCACCAGCCACATGGGCCTATGATCACGGCACAAAGTCCTTTTGGACAGTGCCTCCCTGGAGTTGTGGGGCAGTTCAGGAAGAGAGAGGATCTCAAGAAAGAAGGACATACTAAACTCCTGTCAAAAAAGGGTAAGAGGTCCTAAGACAGTCATTTTAAAAATAAAAATATATGCCTTTATTTATGCTATAAATTTGTAAACAGTTCATATTAGGGTTAGAATTACAGAATTAGTACAAGGGAGTTTAGAAATTATATAGGCCAATCTCCTGACCTGATGTTTTACAAGCTAGCATGAAAATAAAATGAATATACCTGTGAGCATTGGGAGAAGTAGTGCATAAATTCTAAGGGAATTATAAAAACTCTATTTTAATGACAGGTACAAAGTTTAATTTTAGCTGGAGCCAATAAAGGTAGGCCTCAGTGAGGAAGTAGCATCTTCAATAAGCCTTGAGGTAGATGTAGTATTTCAAAAGTTGTTAAAGTGTGGGGAGGAGGGACACTGAGGTTGAAGACAGAGGCAAAAAAAAAACAGAAGTCATGTCCAAGGAAGGTTTATTAGTCCTGTCTCTGTAGAGAACAGTAAAGATGGGCCAACGGGCTGGGGCCATTTGAAGGAGAACCAAGATAGTTAAATGGAGTCTCCTTCCCAGAACAAAGCCAGACCTAAGACACTTTATGGGGAGATCAGATAATTTTTCCCATTTGTCCCCCCTTGGCTGTCTATTGGTAGGGTACGAAAAGTGATTTCTCATCATGACACCCAACTCCTTGAGCGTTCTGATTATCTATGCCCTCAGGGGCAGCCCCTGTCTAAAATTCTGCAAGTCTTGATACTAACTCTGAGGAACTGCATGAAGGTGGTGCTTCTGCTCCTCTGCTCATACAGAGCAAGCAGAACAAGCCACTGTTTCTGTGGTGTGATTTCAGGAGAATGCTCTGTTATGACGCTCTGTTGCCATTCTTACTCCACACCTTATAAAATGACAAATAAAAGAACCCCAACTCTAAACTGACTTAAGCAAAAGGAAGATTGGTTGGTGAGATTCTGGGGTAGCTCCATAAAATCAAAGAAAGAGTTTGTCACCCAACCCTTGAGCAGGACAGGGAGGGCAGCACTGAAGATTTTAGGGGAAATGCGAACTTGTGCATCCTCTGGGTGCTCTCTGCCCCACCTTCATTCTGTTCTTCCTGGGGTGTTCCTCATTCTATGTGGACATGGTACCATGACCACAAACTTAGCTTAAAAACTCACAGGGAAGAGCTCATGGGCCATCTCTGGACCCCATCACTGTGTCCGGGAAACTAGGAAAGTGTAAAAGGACGATAGTCCTCATTTAGACCCTATGAATAGGATTGAGGGAGAATAGCAGTTTCCCCCAATAGAAGGGGCAAGAAGGAAAAGACAGAACTTGGCTCAGATATGACCAGTAGGGGAAATCACTGTGGTCGGCCGCCTGAATTGGAATACAGGGTACAGTGAGCACCATGAACGGACTTTTGAGGAAAAGAGGGGCAAGAGATTTCCAAAAGGATTCCCACACTAGATCTCACTGTGCCAGACTACCATTCCAAGAGGCACAGGAAGCCTGATGTTAGCCAAACCACATCCTTCTCCTACTCAACTCCAGACACATAACCCCAAGGCTGCAGTGAAGACTAAAGGACAATTGCACCTAATTTACCAAACCTACCCATAAAATCCAAAGCACAGAACTATTCTGCAAGAACCATGCTGCCATCCAAAGCAAAGCTAAGCTCCAATTCTCATCTTCTCCTGTATTTGTTTCAGGATATTTTTCAGGCATTCTTTTCATCTTTCATTAAACTAGTAAGTTTTTTAGAATATGAATAATAAAAAATGCAAAATGTATCCAGTGTGATGGATGGCAATATATTTTAAAACATACATGTGCTGAAACTAAAGGTGACCCAAAAATGAGAAATCCACTCCAGGAGACAGTCTTCATCACTGGAGTCAGGCATTCAAATCACGTGTGGTATCTTGTGATGGTTGTTCACAGCAGAGAGCTGGAGGCGTTACTGACCTTTCTGTGGCATCCACAAGGGTTTACCACATTTTCTCAAACACAAATGCATCTCTGCACAGAAAATGAAACTTTCAAAGTCTTTTGGAGAAAAGAGCCTTTCTCAGCTGAATCTGCAGCTTAGAAGGGTGCTCATTAAACGAGAAAGGAGCAGGCATCTTGGAGTCCTCTTTTGGGGCAGATCAAATCAATCACTCCTGGCCTTCAAATAGAGATGAGGGATCCCATGACCAGATTTCTCACAGCCTATATGAGCTTTGAATGTCATTGCCAGCTGCCAGCCTTATGGATGTTTCCACACTGGCCAAATCCAATTGAAAATTTGATATAAACTATGTAGACACTAAAAGCAAATGCATTATTTGTCCCCCAAACCAGCTTATCTTCCTAACTTCTATAAAGTTCTCAAAAATACACTGTTCTCCCTGTTACCCAGACTTCAAATCTTGTCCTAATGTCTTCTTTCTCAGGCCCTGCATGTAGTCCCAAAGCTTGGCAATTCTTCCCCCTAGGTCCTTCTTGGCCTCACCTTTTTTCACATGCACGTGCACTGGCATGTCTTTAATACCCAGAATGGGGACTAGCAAACTACAACCTGAGAGCCAAATATGACCCACCACCTGTTTTGGGGAAATAAAATTTTGCTGGAACACAACCATACTCATTCATTTCTGTATTGTTTATGGCTGCTTTCACACTACAACAGCAAAGTTGAGTGGTTGAGCCAGACTGTTTGGCACTCAAAGCCTAAAATATGGGCTATCCAGCCCTTTATGGAAAATGTTTGCCAATACCTGTCTGAAACTGTTGCAATAAGTCTACCCAGCCTTAACTTCTTTCCAGTTCTCCCTACTTTTTAAAATATTCCCTACTCAAAACTCTATTCTGAATTATCAGTGAAGCTTATCAGTCATACACAGGCACACCCTGTTTAAAAAGTGTAAAAAGCTCCTCACTGCACTTAGAATAAATTCCCAGTACTCTGGCTGTAGGTGGTTGGATGGCTTCAACTTCTCGCATTGCGTCCCTCCTAACTCACTATACTCCAGCCTCACTGGTCTTTCTCATTTCCTTCAGGCATCAGACCCTTTTCCTCCAGGGCCTTACAACTACTGTCCTTTTTTTCATGCAATGCTCTTCCCTACCCACCTTCATCTGGTCACCAACTCTCATCCTTCAGATCTCCATTTCAATGTCACCTCCTTGGAGATAAGTCTACCCTTTCTCAAGAAGACTGCTGTCACTCTATTCTTTTTCTAGCACGCTGTTCTTTTTATGCATAGGAAGAAATTAAACACTTACTTGTTTGCTTCCTGGATTAATGTGTGTCACAATGATCATAATCTTGATCATAATCACTCCAAGAGGTCAAGGCTTGTGTGTCCATTTTATTTGCCTCTCCACATTCAGCACCTGTCAAATGTAAGCATTCAAAACATATTTTTATGAATGAGTGATCTTCCATTCATTCCCAAATAATATTTCTTCTTTGGCCCAACAATCAGGCTCTATCCTATTATCCAGTCCTAATTGTATGCCTCATTCCAGGTAAACTGAGATAATCATCATTTTGCAAATATACACTGTACTTTTTTACTTCTGAACTTTCTTGTCCCACCCCAATCCCACATCCTCTACCATTTTTGCTTAGGAAGATCTTTCCCTTCGAAGCTTAATTCAAACAATTATTCTAGGAAACTGTTTTAATGAAAATAGTTTGAATAGTGTAAAACCAAGGACATATTTTATAAGGATGCTTTCTAGAACAGTCTTCAATATAATTCCATGCCCTCATGTCCAACTATTCCAATAAAAGCATTTCTATGTGGGCCAGGCTATGATGCATTCCAAGTCTGATTCTACAATGGGATGAATTTAGGGACGCATTTTAGAGTGTGGATGGATAGATTATCATGGGTGTCCAATCTTTTGGCTTCCCTGGGCCACACTGGAAGAATTGTCTTGGGCCACACATAAAATACACTAACACTAACAATAGCTGATGAGCTTCCAAAAAATCACAAAAAAACTCATAATGTTTTAAGAAAGTTTATGAATTTGTGTTGGGCTACATTTAAAGCCATCCTAGGCCACATGTGGTCCATGGACCATGGGTTAGAAAAGTTTGGATTACATAGTCTTCTGGTTGTTTTTTGCTAATATTGTTTTTCTCAACTCCAGTTTTGAAAGTAACTGGGTACAAATGAGTACTGAAAGGTACTCATATTCTATGTTTCAGTTAAATTGAGCAAGGAACAGGATTGATAACCAGGTGTGAAATCTGAGGAGCCTGACTGATACTCATGCTTATAAGGAAGGCCACTCACTCCCTTTCAGTGGTAAGAGAGTATATCTTTATGTCAGTCATCATGAGGCACTGTACCTAGGATAAACCAACCTATCTACTGAGAGCATGTTTAGTTCATAATAATAAAACATTATTCACACAAAAGAGAAGGTTTCACTGTCTATTGCCTGTTGCTTGAGGGTCTAGATCCAGTTTATAAAAAGTGAAAGCAACATATTCCAAAAAAAAGCTAAAAAGCAGTGAAGCCACAACACGTCTGTTGTGTGTGCCTGCCCCCTCTTTTGTTTTATACATAATGAATGTAGCTTCAGATTTTAATTGCTTCTAAACTGCTTACTCAGAATGAGTTTATTGTTGGTTAGAACTCCTAGGATTTTTTTATATTGCTGCTAATCCACATCTTTCTGTTACTTACTTATGCAGTTGTTATATTAGGACCCAAGTATAGGAAGGAATATGAAGACACTTTAGTATACACACAAACCCACATTTTGTTCTCCCTCCTTAGCTTTATGTCAAGAGTGAATTTTATAGTTGTAGGCTCCATGGACTTATTCAATCCATTTATGACTCTGTTAAACCCAACAAGGGCCAAAGTAGCTTCAGTACACCTCTAACTGTTCCATTTAACATTCATTATGACCCAGTATCCTGAACAAGCTGTTTGTCGTCATATCTAGTTTTTTCACATGAAAACATTAAACAAACAATTCTGGGCTCCTATTAAGTACCAGGACACTTGTTAGGTACTAAGGATTCAACAATTTAAAAGGGGAAAAAAGCCCATTTCTAACCTCATGAAGTTTATAGTAAGGCCACAAGGATACCTAATAAGAGGTAACATTTATTGAATTAGGTACTATATGTGTATTATGCTATTTAATCCTCAAAAACGGAAAGAAAAAGAAAAACCCTGAAGAAGGTACTATGGCTTATACAGATGGAAAATGAAGTTTAAGGAGATTAAGTAACTTGACCAAGGACACACCTCTAGATAGTGGGGAGGTAGGAGTCAAACCCAGACGGTCTGGCTCCAAAATCAATACACTTAATACTTCTATTTAAGACCACCATGCTTATCTGCATAGGTTGTGTACCTCTTAACTCAGAGGAACACAGTTCAAATAAACTCCAACTTGCACAATCTCATATAGCAGTCTGAAACCCAGACACACCACCATATTTTCTTCACATGTGATTTTTCGACTCTTGTTCAAGTAAAAATCAAACACGAAGATGGAGGAAGATGAAATGGAAAAATTCCCAGAAAAACACAAACTACTAAAATTGACTCAAAAAGAAATAAAAAATCTGAATAGACTATTATAATAAATAAATAAATAGATGGACTTAGTTATTTTAAAACTACCCACAAAGAAAAGTTCAAGACCAGATGTCTTCACTGGTGAATTCTATGAAACATTTGAAGCATTAATACTAACTCTTCCAAAGAATAGAAGAGAACACTTTCCAAATTATTCTACAAGACCAAAAGCAGAAGCAATAAAAAAATAAACTGGAAATCTTTTGTGTTGCAGAGGATACCATTAAGAAAGTGAAAAGACAACACACAGAATGGGAGAAAATATTTACAAATTGTAATAAAAAGATAAGTAAGCCAATTCAAAAATGAGCACAGAATTTGAATAGCTATTTTCCCAAAGAAGACATACAAATGCACAACAGGCTTGTAAAAAAATGCTCAATATCATTATCAACCAGGAAAATGCAAATGAAAACCACAAATAAGATATTTCTTCATACCCACTAGGATGGCTATATCAAAAAGACAGACAATAACAAGCATTGGTGAAGATGTGGAGTATCTGGAATCCTCATACACTGCTGTTGAGAATATCAAATATCACTTTGGAAAACAGTCTGGCAGTTCCTGAAAAGATTAAATATAAAATTACCCAGCAGTTCCAGTCCTAGGTATATACTCATAAGAAATGAAAGCATATGTCCACACTCAAACATGTACATAAATGTTTATAGCAACATTGTTCATAGTAACCTAAAAGCAAAAGCAACCCAAATACCTATCAATGGATGAATAAATACTAATATGTCCAGATAGAGGAATATTATTTATTAATCAAAGAAATGCGGGAGTCGGTGCAGTGGCTCACACATGTAATCCCAGCACTTTTGAAGGCCAAGGCAGGAGGCTTGCTTGAGGCCAGAAGTTTGAGACCAGCCTGGGCAATATTGCAAAACCCCATCTCTATCCAAAAAAAAAAAAACAAAAACAGCAGGAATCCTATCCCAGATATTCGGGAGGATGATGTGGGAGGACTGCTTGAGCCCAGGAGTTCAAAGTTACAGTGAGCTATGATTGTGCCACTGCATTCCAGCCCAGGTGACAGCTAAGCCTTGTCTCTTAAAAAAAAAAAAAAAAAAAGGAAAGAAATGGAATAGTGATACATGATACAACACTGATGAACCTTAAAAAGTTTATGCTAAGTGAGAAAAGCCAGCCATAAAGGACCACGTATTATACATACTGTATGATTCCATTTATATAAGATGCCCAGACTAGGCAAGTCCACAGAGACAGAAAGTAGATTGGTGGTTGCCTAGGGCTGGAGAAAGTTGGGGGAAATGGGCAATGATGGCAAATGAATCAGGTTTCTTTTGGAGTTGACAAAAATGTTCTAAAATTGTGATGATGATTGCACACCTATGTGAATAAACTAAAAACAATTGTACATTGTAAATGGGTGAATTGTATGATATATGAATTACATCTTAATAAAGTTCTTACTAAAAATGACAGAGAGAGGGAGAGAGATCATTCTCTTTAAATATGGAATATTAATTAAACCACTCATTTATATCTCTTGAAAATCTCAATAAAATGGTGATAAAAATTTTTTAAAAGGCATAATCCAACATGTACAAATAATAGAGAGGAACAGACTACAAATACGGCAAAGGGAAGACGTCAACACCATTTTGGAAGCTGGAAAGAAGATATGTAAGTAACATAGTGACCTAACTGACCTGGGAAAGCTAAAGCCTGTGGGGGATGACAAGAGGGAGGCCTAATGGCACTGCAAAAAGCTCCAGAAAGTTTCCAAAATTAGAAGCATTAGTTACTTCTGAAGGCCAGGGTATGGGATGAGGCTAAAAATAGAAGTGTTGGTTCAAAGTTTACATGAGATGGAGTTAAATACCCCTTCTAAACCCATGGAGCTGGATTATGCATTCCACCCTCACCCCACTGCCTCAGCCAGAGACAGGTAGTTTTTTTGTTTGTTTGTTTTTTGTTTTTTGTTTTTGTGCTTTTCTGCAGAAGCCAGGCCTCAGACTGGGCTCAGGACTTGGGCTCTGGATTCAGGCACCAAAGGCACAGATGAGGGAGAGGTGAGATGTTCAACTGAAAACAAGGAAATCGAATCAAATGCTATGTATTGAAAGGTAAAGTATTAGAAATCTCATAGATGGTGGGCCCAAGCCAAGATGGCCGAATAGGAACAGCTCCAGTCTACAGCTCCCAGGGTGAGCAATGGAGACGATGAGTGATTTCTGCATTTCCAACTGAGGTACCAGGTTCATCTCACTGGGGATTGTCAGACAGTGGGTGCAGGACAGTGGGTGCAGTGCACTGAGTGTGAGCCGAAGAAGGGCAAGGCATCGCCTCACCTGGGAAGTGCAAGCAGTCAGGGAATTCCCTTTCCTGCCAAGGAAAGGGGTGACAGACGGCACCTGGAAAATCGGGTCACTCCCACCCTAATACTGCGCTTTTCCGATGGTCTTAGCAAATGGCACACCAGGAGATTATATCTCGCGCATGGCTCAGAGGGTCCTACGCCCACGGAGCCCCGCTCACTGCTAGCACAGCAGCCTGAGATAAAACTGCAAGGCGGCAGCAAGGCTGGGGGAGGGGCGTCCGCCACTGCTGAGCCTTGGGTAGGTAAACAAAGCAGCCAGGAAGCTCGAACTGGGTGGAGCCCACCACAGCTCAAGGAGGCCTGCCTGCCTCTGTAGACTCCACCTCTGGGGGCAGGGCATAGCTGAACAAAAGGCAGCAGAAACCTCTGCAGACTTAAAAGTCCCTGTCTGACAGCTTTGAAGAGAGTAGTGGTTCTCCCAGCACCCAGCTTGAGATCTGAGAACGGACAGACTGCCTCCTCAAGTGGGTCCCTGAACCCAGAGTAGCCTAAGTGAGAGGCACCCCCCAGTAGGGGCAGACTGATACCTCACACGGCTGGGTACTCCTCTGAGACAAAACTTCCAGAGGAACGATCAGGCAGCAACATTTGCTGTTCACCAATATTCGCTGTTCTGCAGCCACCGCTGCTGATACCCAGGCAAACAGGGTCTGCAGTGGACCTCCAGCAAATTACAACAGACCTGCAGCTGAGGGTCCTGACTGTTAGAAGGAAAACTAACAAACAGAAAGGACATCCACACCAAAACCCCACCTGTACGTCACCATCATCAAAGAACAAAGGTACATAAAACCACAAATATGGGGGAAAAACAGAGCAGAAAAACTGGAAATTCTAAAAATCAGAGTGCCTCTCCTCCTCCAAAGGAATGCAGCTCCTCACCAGCAACAGAACAAAGCTGGACAGAGAATGACTTTGATGAGTTGAGAGAAGAAGACTTCAGACAATCAAACTTCTCTCTGAGCTAAAGGAGTAAATTCGAACCCATGGCAAAGAACTTAAAAACCTTGAAAAAAGATTAGACGAATGGCTAACTAGAATAACCAATGCAGAGGAGTCCTTAAAGGACCTGATGGAGCTGAAAACCACGGCACGAGAACTACGTGACGAATGCATAAGCCTCAGTAGCCAATTCAATCAACCAGAAGAAAGGGTATCAGTGATGGAAGACCAAAGGAATGAAATGAAGTGAGAAGAGAAGTTTAGAGAAAAAAGAGTAAAAAGAAATGAACAAAGCCACCAAGAAATATGGGACTATGTGAAAAGACCATATCTATGTCTGATTGGTGTATCTGAAAGTGACGGGGAGAATGGAACCAAGTTGGAAAACACTCTGCAGGATATTATCCAGGAGAACTTCCCCAATCTAGCAAGGCAGGCCAACATTCAAATTCAGGAAATACAGAGAAAGCCACAAAGATACTCCTCGAGAAGAGCAACTCCAAGACACATAATTGTCCGATTCACCAAAGTTGAAATGAAGGAAAAAATGTTAAGGGCAGCCAGAGAGAAAGGTTGGGTTACTCACAAAGGCAAGCCCATCAGACTAACAGCTCATCTCTCAGTGGAAACTCTACAAGCCAGAAGAGAGTAGGGGCCAATATTCAACATTCTTAAAGAAAAGAATTTTCAAGCCAGAATTTCATATCCAGCCAAACTAAGCTTCATAAGTGAAGGAGAAATAAAATACTTTACAGACAAGCAAATGCTGAGAGATTTTGTCACCACCAGGCCTGCCCTAAAAGAGCTCCTAAAGGAAGCACTAAACACGGAAAGGAAAAACCAGTACTGGCCACTGCAAAAACATGCCAAATTGTAAAGACCATCGAGGCTAGGAAGAAACTGCATCAACTAATGAGCAAAATAAGCAGCTAACATCATAATGACAGGATAAAATTACACATAACAATATTAACCTTAAATGTAAATGGGCTAAATGCTCCAGTTCAAAGACACAGACTGGCAAATTGGATAAAGAGTCAAGACCCATCAGTGTGATGTACTCAGGAAACCCATCTCACGTGCAGAGACACATAGGCTCAAAATAAAGGCATGGAGCAAGATCTAACAAGCAAACGGAAAACAAAAAAAGGCAGGGGTTGCAATCCTAGTCTCTGATAAAACAGACTTGAAACCAACAAAGATCAAAAGAGACAAAGAAGGCCGTTACATAATGGTAAAGGGATCAATTCAACAAGAAAAGCTAACTATCCTAAATATATATGCACCCAATACAGGAGCACCCAGATTCATAAAGCAAGTCCTTAGACACCTACAAAGAGACTTAGACTCCCACACAATAATAATGGGAGACTTTAACACCCCACTGTCAACATTAGACAGATCAATAAGACAGAAAGTTAACAAGGATATCCAGGAATTGAAGTCAGCTCTGCACCAAGGGGACCTAATAGACACCTACAGAACTCTCCACCCCAAATCAACAGAATATACATTCTGCTCACCATGACCCCAAACCTATTCCAAAATTGACCACATAGTTGGAAGTAAAGCACTCCTCAGCAAATGTAGAAGATCAGAAATTATAACAAACTGTCTCTCAGACCACAGTGCAATCAAACTAGAACTCAGGATTAAGAAACTCACCCAAAACCGCTCAACGACATGGAAACTGAACAACCTGCTCCTGAATGACTACTGGGTACATAACGAAATGAAGGCAGAAATAAAGATGTTCTTTGAAACAAACGAGAACAAAGACACAACATACCAGAATCTCTGGGACACATTTATAGCAGTGTGTAGAGGGAAATTTATAGCGCTAAATGCCCACAAGAGAAAGCAGGAAAGATCTAAAATTGACACCTTAACATCACAATTAAAAGAACTATAGAAGCAAGAGCAAACACATTCAAAAGCTAGCAGAAGGCAAGAAATAACTAAGATCAGAGCAGAACTGAAGGAGATAGAGACACACAAAACCCTTCAAAAAATCCATGAATCCAGGAGCTGGTTTTTTGAAAAGATCAACAAAATTGATAGACCGCTAGCAAGACTAATAAAGAAGAAAAGAGAGAAGAATCAAATAGATGCAATAAAAAATGATAAAGGGGATATCACCACCGATCCCACAGAAATACAAACTACCATCAGAGAATACTATAAACACCTCTACACAAATAAACTAGAAAATCTAGAAGAACTGGATAAATTCCTCGACATATACACCCTCCCAAGACTAAACCAGGAGGAAGCTGAATCCCTGAAGAGACCAATAACAGGCTCTGAAATTGAGGCAATAATTAACAGCTTACCAACCAAAAAAAGTCCAGGACCAGACTGATTCACAGCTGAATTCTACCAGAGGTACAAGGAGGAGCTGGTACCATTCCTTCTGAAACTATTCCAATCAATAGAAAAAGAGGGAATCCTCCCTAACTCATTTTATGAGGCCAGCATCATCCTGATACCAAAGCCTGGCAGAGACACAACCAAAAAAGAGAATTTTAGACCAATATCCCTGATGAACATCGAAGCAAAAATCCTCAATAAAGTACTGGCAAACCGAATCCAGCAGCACATCAAAAACCTTATCCACCATGATCAAGTGGGCTTCATCCATGGGATGCAAGGCTGGTTCAACATACGCAAATCAATAAACGTAATCCAGCATATAAACAGAACCAATGACAAAAACCACATTATTATCTCAATAGATGCAGAAAAGGCCTTTGACAAAATTCAACAACCCTTCATGCTAAAAACTCTCAATAAATTAGGTATTGATGGGACGTATCTCAAAATAATAAGAGCTATTTATGACAAACCCACAGCCAATATCATACTGAATGAGCAAAAACTGGAAGCATTCCCTTTGAAAACCGGCACAAGACAGGGATGCCCTCTCTCACCACTCCTATTCAACATAGTGTTGGAACTTCTGGCCAGGGCAATCAGGCAGGAGAAGGAAATAAAGGGTATTCAATTAGGAAAAGAGGAAGTCAAATTGCCCTGTTTACAGATGACATGACTGTATATCTAGAAAACCCCATCGTCTCAGCCCAAAATCTCCTTAAGCTGATAAGCAACTTCAGCAAAGCCTCAGGATACAAAATCAATGTGCAAAAATCACGAGCATTCTTATACACCCATAACAGACAAACAGAGATCCAAATCATGAGTGAACACCCATTCACAATTGCTTCAAAGAGAATAAAATACCTAGGAATCCAACTTACAAGGGATGCAAAGGACCTCTTCAAGGAGAACTACAAACCACTGCTCCAGGAAATAAAAGAGGCTACCAACAAATGAAAGAACATTCCATGCTCATGGGTAGGAAGAATCAATATTGTGAAAATGGCCATACTGCCCAAGGTAATTTATAGATTCAATGCCATCCCCATCAAGCTGCCAATGACTTTCTTCACAGAATTGGAAAAAACTACCTTAAAGTTCATATGGAACCAAAAAAGAGCCTGCATTGCCAAGTCAATCCTAAGCCAAAAGAACAAAGCTGGAGGCATCAAGCTACCTGACTTCAAACTATACTACAAAGCTACAGTAACCAAAGCAGCATGGTACTGGTACCAAAACAGAGATATAGACCAATGGAACAGAATAGAGCCCTCAGAAATAATGCCACATATCTACAACTATCTGATCTTTGACAAACCTGACAAAAAGAAGAAATGGGGAAAGGATTCCCTATTTAATAAATGGTGCTGGGAAAACTGGCTAGCCATATGTAGAAAGCTGAAACTGGTTCCCTTCCTTACACCTTATACAGAAATTAATTCAAGATGGATTAAATGTCCAACCTAAAACCATAGAAACCCTAGAAAAAAACCTAGGCAATACCATTTCAGGACATAGGCATGGGCAAGGACTTCATGTCTAAAACACCAAAAGCAATGGCAACAAAAGCCAAAATTGACAAATGGGATCTAATTAAGCTAAAGAGCTTCTGCACAGCAAAAGAAACTACCATCAGAGTGAACACGCAACCTACAGAATGGGAGAAAATTTCTGCAATCTACTCATCTGACAAAGGGCTAATATCCAGAATCTACAAAGAACTCAAACAAATTTACAAGAAAAAAACAAACAACCCCATCAAAAAGTGGGTGAAGGATATGAACAGACACTTCTCAAAAGAAGACATTTATGCAGCCAAAAGACACATGAAAAAATGCTTATCATCACTGGCCATCAGAGAAATGCAAATCAAAATCGCAATGAAATACCATCTCACACCAGTTAGAATGGTGATCATTAAAAAGTCAGGAAACAACAGGTGCTGGAGAGGATGTGGAGAAATAAGAACACTTTTACATTGTTGGTGGGACTGTAAACTAGTTCAACCATTGTGGAAGTCAGTGTGGCCATTCCTCAGGGATCTAGAACTAGAAATACCATTTGACCCAGCCATCCCATTACTGGGCATATACCCGAAAGATTATAAATCATGCTGCTATAAAGATACACGCACACGTATGTTTATTGCAGCACTATTCACAATAGCAAAGACTTGGAACCAAGCCAAATGTCCAACAATGATAGACTGGATTAAGAAAATGTGGCACATATACACCATGGAATACTATGCAGCCATAAAAAATGATGAGTTCATGTCCTTTGTAGGGACATGGATGAAGCTGGAAACCATCATTCTCAGCAAACTATCGCAAGGACAAAAAACCAAACACCACATGTTCTCACTCATAGGTGGGAATTGAACAATGAGAACACATGGACACAGGAAGGGGAACATCACACACCAGGGCCTGTTGTAGGGGGGTGGGGGAGGGATAGCATTAGGAGATATACCTAATGTTAAATGACGAATTAATGGGTGCAGCACACCAACATGGCACATGTATACATATGTAACAAACCTGCACGTTGTGCACATGTACCCTAAAACTTATAATAATAAAAGAAAAAGAAATCTCATAGAAAGTAAAACAAAATGACAAAAAGGTGGGAAATAAGACAGCAAAAAATCAAGAAAATTGGAGGATTGATGGTCAAACATCAGGACAGCAAGGGTTCCAGGGAAGGAGGGGGTGGTGTGGAAAATGAGATCAGAGAACATGCAGGGAAACTATTATAAAAGAAATTATGCAAAAAATTTCTCAGAACTTAGAAAGAAGAATGTGTTTCTAAAATAGAAAGGACCTACCAGATGTCCTGCAAAATGCCCATCATTGTGAAATTTCATAACACTCACTGGGCTTCTGGAAAACAGTTCCTTCAAGGTTCTGAGGGAAATTCTGTTGAACACAGAATTCTATACTTAGCAAAATCATTAGTCAAGTGTGAGGGTAGAATATAGACAAGAAACAGGAAGTCATGTAATCCAAGAAGCCAGGGATAAAACACAGAAGTGAACCAAATTCCCAGGATGACGGTGAGGGGAGCCTCTGGGTAACAGCCAGGCTTCAGGGCCAGAGAAGGGTCAGAAATGATTGCAAGCAAGGTAGGAGGATTCCAAAAGGTTCATCTCAAAGGTGGCGGGCGGGGGCATTGGCGTTGGGGAGTGCAAGAGATTACTTGAACTTATAGAGGGGTGTTTTCAGCCTTCAGGAGTTTACAGATGGGCTATTCAAATAAACAGAAACAGTTCATAGCTCTAGGAAAAAACAAAGAACACTATAGGAAAAGGAGAGTAAATTTAAAAGTATGTAATTATAATTGTCGGGTCCTTCCAAGGAAACTGGTAAATCATTTTCTTATTTCTCACCCAAGTTTTAAACAAATTGGCAAATAAATCAGAAAATTTAGATGAAGGACAAAACCTCACCCTTATTTCCCTCTAGTGATAAAGGCTTCACTAGCTTCCACTATGTGAGATTAGAGTGAGAAGATGGCTGTCTGTTAGGAAGTGGACCCTCACCAGAACTCCAAATCTGCCAGTGCCTTGATCTTGGACTTCCCAACCTCTAGACCTGTGAGAAATAAATTTCTGTTGTCTATTAAAAAGAAAAAGGCCTATTTGGCTAATGTAGTTTAGGTATGAGAACCAAATGAGCCTTGAATCTCAGAATTAGGCAGATTCCCACTGCTCCCCAAACTCCCTGCCCAAGCCAAGACAAGGCTGGACTTTCCCTGCCTAGATGGAGCAGCAAGGAACACTCTCCCCTTGCTATTAAATAGCTTCCAGAGAGCAGAAGGAAAAAGGGGTGATCCAAATTCACTAACCAGATTAAGCCACTCTTCCTTCCCTAAAGAGAAGCAAATGAATTAATGAGTAAAGGCGCAGAGAGATCACAGAAATGTTTAGCAGAAATCCCACCTCATGGAAGAAAATATCATGAGTTCCCTCCTGACATTAATGATGCAAATATGAAGCGTGATCTCACTAGAAATTATAATATAGTAATGTAAGATAGGGCAGAGAATGCAGGCATGTACGATAGGGGTGGCATAAGTGTTAAATCCTCATCCTCAGAGCAGAAATTCAATAGATAGTTAAAATGGAAAATCCAGAAATGACAGTAACATATATTATTTGGCAATATGTAGCGAAGGAAATAGCTAAAAACAGCTATCTATAAGACTTGAGAATGGCAGCCTTTGGGGAAAAGGAGTCTGAGGTGGGAAGATGCGAAGCAGGGACCTCCTGCCCATTTCATATTAAAACCTATTTGTAGTGCTGTTGTGTTGTTGGACTTTGAAAACTTTGGATTAGATTGGATCATATAAAATTGCCAATATTTGCTTATTTGTGGCCTAAAAAATGGCAATTTCATATGGTTCATATAGTTCAGCCTAAAATTTTTACAAAGTGACTTTAAAAAAATGTTTTTAATGAAAGGAAAAGGAGCCCAGCCCTTGGGATACCTTCTCTGCTTCCTTTCTCTTTAGTCTAGTTTGTGTGCCTCCCTGAGGCACATTATCTCTACTAACGAACCCATACCTATCTGATGTTTCCATAGCATTGCAATCATTAGTGATCGTGTCTTCCCTCCACTAGTTGAGATTATGTTGAGGGGAGGCCCTGTTTATTATGCCAGGGTGCCCACCACAGCAGCAGGCACATAGTAGGCCGTCAGGATTTTCTGAATGAGTAAATGATGGCACAGTTACGAACCCTCACTGGGTGCTTGGATTGGTTGCTTCCTTTCCCAGGTGTTTATTATACAATAACCTTTTAAGACTTAGGGCTATTACCCTATTATCTTAGGATTTCACCCAGCATCTACACCAAGCTCACTAACTTGCAATGTGCAGAATATGCCTTATTCTGTCTCGCTCTCGCTCTCTCTTTTAGGAAAAGTTTCAAAAGAGAAACACATTTTCCCATTCCTGGATTTGCAGCCCCTTGCCATGGCTCACAGTGCAAGTTCTCTCATAGGCTGGGGTGTTCTGTATCTGCACCAGGAGGACTGACCTCCCAAAGGAACTCTGGAGGCCCAGTAATTGAGCAGCTCTGCTCTCAAGCTCCAGATCAGATGGCCTGAGGATAAATTGTGTGCCGCCTTCCTTTCCCCTTATTACAGGGAACGTAAACAAATACTTTCATCTCTCTCTCTCTGAGGTTCCTAATACCTAAATAAGATAGTGCCTAAAACCATAGTTACTGTATAGATTAAATGAGATAATATATGTAAAATATTGAATGTAGGAAGCATTCTAATGTGTAGCTGTTACTAGCTGACATGGCTTTTTTTCAGTCTGAACTTCCATTCCCTTTTATTAACATTTGTTCTATGCTTTCAATTCGAAAATCATTCTTTGTTGCAAAAAATGAAGATGAACAGAAGTAAAGGAGCGCATTTATATTATTGGTCAGCATGCAAGAATCTCTCCAAAGAAGCAGGCCCGTTCCCTACCCCCTCTTGTGGGGATTACTCTAAAAATAATTTTCTGAGTTTTGTTGCCCCGAGCATTTCTTACAAGCTCATGGAAATGAGAGGCTATATAATACTGTTCTCATAAGCCTTCCTCTTATCACTGGCCAAGCACTCCTTCCTGTTTCTTTTCTAAGTATTCGCTGGAAATCAGAGTTCAACAGAGAAAAACATGTGTAGCCGCCCTGGCTTCCCTAAGCACCCATTTAATTACTGCTTGTGTTAGGCCGTTCTTGCTTTGCTATAAAGGAACACAGGAGACTGGGTAATTTATAAAGAAAAGAGGTTTCATTGGCTCACAATTCTGCAGACTGTACAGGAAGCATGGCAGATGCTTGGCTTCTGAGGAGGCCTCAGGGACCTTACACTTATGGTAGAAGGCAAAGGAGGAGCCGACATATCACATGGTGAGAGCAGGGGCAAGAGAGAGAGAGTGGAAGGTGCCACACACTTTTTATTTATTTTATTATTTATTTATTGAGACAGTATCCCTCTGTCACCCAGGCTCACACTTTTAAACAACTGGATCTCATACGAACTCACTCATCACCAAGGGGATGGCACTAAGCAATTCATGAGGGATACACCCCCATGATTCAAACTCCTCCCACCAGGTCCCACCTCCAACACTGGGATTACATTTCAACCTGAGGTTTGGCAGGGACACAGATCCAAACCGTATCACTCCTTATTGGGTGTATTTGCAGTTGTGGAGTCAGAGCACTGTGGTTTTGAGAGCTCCCCATCCTTCACGCACACTCTTCCCTCTAAGTGCCCACTTTGCTCTGAATGCTAGAACCCAGGTCTATGCCTCACCAGTCCCATCTTTCTTCCCTGATATTACTGCCTTGGGAAGCCATGATCAATTCTCATAATGTTCTTCCCACTCATCACCCTCTCTTGGTTAGAATTAGATCTAAGCCAGGCCTGGTGGCTCACGCCTGTAATCCCAGCACTTTTGGAGGCCGAGGCAGGCGGATCACGAGGTCAGGAGATCGAGATCACCCTGGCTAACAAGGTGAAACCCCGTCTCTACTAAAAAATACAAAAAATTAGCTAGGTGTGGTGACATGCACCTATAGTCCCAGCTACTTGGGAGGCTGAGGCTGGAGAATCGCTTGAATCTGGGAGGCGGAGGTTGCAGTGAGCCGAGATCGCGCCACTGCACTCCAGCCTGGGCAACAGTGGGAGACTCCATCTCAAAAAAAAAAAAAAGAATTAGATCTAAAGCAGCAGTTCTGCTGGTTACTTTCTAAATAAGCAGGTAAACAGCAAATAATCAGAGAAAATCCTATTGTCCTGAAGGCGTCTGTGGGAACTTACAGTACAAATGAATAAACATCACTTCCCATGCAAAGGAGCAACGCTAATTATGAGGCTTTCTAACAATCTGTCAAGTCAGCCAGAGAGGTGTTCTGTTTGGCCCTGGATAACTTCTTGGTGACCTTTATATCATTATGTTTTGCCAAATGGCTACTTCATCTAAGTGAGGACCATCTTGGTGAGGAGAGGATATAAATGTCCGCATTACCTAACTGGAGAGAGTTGATGAATCCCTTCTCCTCTCTGAGCCCGTTTCTCATCTGTAACATGAGGGTGTTGAACTGGTTGGTCTCAAAGATCTCAGCCATTTGAAAGTTTTCGGATTTTAAGTATAAACAGAGGGTTTCTTTTGATATCTAGTGTCTGTGCTAGTGTTAAAACAAAGTAGTATATCAAAGAAGCATATTTGAGTTCAAATAAAATTTTTCTAGTCTTATGCAAAATGTAAACTTCCCATCTTTTTTCATGTTTTCTTTTACATCATCTTCATCACATTCTTTTTTGCAGTGGGAACGCCTATCAATTCTGTTTTTTAATCTATGTTCTATTTCCCCAGTAGATGGCACCCCATTACAACTTTCAATTACTTTCTGACTACAAATTCAGTGCAACCAGCCCAGAAAATCAATGCAGACTGAAGAGAATGTGGGAGTATTTGTTCATCAAAAACAGATAAATAAGCAAAAATTTACACTGGGCACCTAACATATGCATCTATTTTTTTAAAATTTAAACCTCTAATTTAAAATTTAAATTAAAATTTAGAAAAATCTAAATTAAATTTAAACATTTTTCTAGTTTAAATTTTAGAAAAATTGATGCATATTTTTGATGCATGCCTAATATAAAGTTTAGAAAATTTAAATTTAAATTAGGTTCTAAAATAAGGTATAAGAAAGTAATTAGAATGTTTTTATACAAACATGTCAGACTACCATGTGTTAGCCTGAGTGCTACCCCTCAAAATGACAAATGTTTGAGATTATGGATGATCAAGTTGATTCATTTACATTGCTATTTTTAAAAACATTTAGAAAACCATTTTCTGGAAAAAACTCCCAGGATCAATTTCTGGCTTATATGACAAAACCTGTCTCGATGCCTCCTTTCTGACAATTCCTCCTCTGTAGCATCCAATTCCTTGATAATCCTTACATTCAAGAAAATTTTTCCCTTCTTGGAAAGGCTATTTTCAAACATTCTATACTTAATGAAGTTTGGCCATCTACTTTTAAGTATTTTGGACAGAATACAACTCAGTGACTTATAACCATAGTTTCAGCCCACGTGTTCTGTCTCTGCTGGCTTCCTTTGCCACGATGAGTAGAACATGCCCCGTGTTACAGGTAAATTAATTCTGGTACACTGGTAAGCAAAGAAACCAGTAACTGAGATGGGAAAGGACCCTAGCATTGGGAATTATGAGCCCTAACAAATTTTAATTTACCTTCTGAGAAAAGTAAGAAGGTGAGCAAATATCTTGCCAGTCTCTCATGAAGAACTAGCCCCTGCTTCAAGCCTGGCAGTGAGTTAGGAACTCCAGTCCTACTTATACAGGGTCCAGGATTGGGCTTGCTGCCCTTAGCCCAGGTGCAGCATTCCTGGGAAAGAAGTACCCACCTGAGATCCTTGGAGCAAGAAAGAATCACCCTCCAATCTCTACGTGAATGCATTCTTATTCCCCTACTGGAAGGAAAGCCCTGCCCTGAACTGTTTCTCAGGTGAATCCACCCTTGTTCTTTAAATATTACCGGCACACCCTCCATCTACAGTGCACTGAGGGAATGAACAAACATGCAGCACCCAGCCCAAACAGTAGTCCCCATCTCAAATCTAATTAACCTGTCCATGACTGCTCTCATCTCCTCACATGTTGAGTTCCATGACCTTTATACCCCCACTCTTGAAATCTACCTCAAGCCCTGCTTACTATGGTGACCTTCCTTCCCCACTGACGCTAGATTCCATACGCTTCTGAGTTTGGGTACCCTGGCTTCTCCAGATAAGAGACGGGCCTCCGCAGCCCCTATCCCCACCTTTCCTAGCTCTCTGATCTCTGCTGGGAGAAAGGATTAACACTTGGTTCTGATCCCCTCATTTCTCACAGCTGACATCTTGAATGGTAGAGAACTTCAATGAGTTTGGCATTATACTCTAAAGCCACTATTAACCCTGAAGATCAGTTGCATGATCTTCTAGACTTCCAGGTACATGAGCAATTTAATTTCCTAGTTGCTTAATCCAGTTTGAATTGGGTCTTCAACTCCCTCTGGTGGTAGAATCCTCACCCACAGGCCACCACACAAAGCTAGAGCTCTGAAGTTTGGCTAGTTTACAGGCACAGCTTAGTGGCTTCCCAAGCACGTAAGAATATATAAGAATGCATGTTTTAATTGTGGGGGACCTATGCCATCTGACTCCCAGGTTGGGTTTCCCTGGGGAAGTCCTCACTTACTCTGAAAGACTTTAATCTTAACCTCTAATATGTTTTCTCCACAGACTGAAAATCCTCTATCATGAGAATTTGCCGAATACAATGACAATGACAATTCAGTCAATAGCCTATATTTCTATAGTACTATTTAAGTTTTTCTTTTTCCTAATACTTATTGAATATTTACTATGTGCTTGTCCCTATTCTAAGCACCTTTCTTATATTACCTTAATACTTAAAACAACTCTATGAGGTTGATAATTATTATCCCCATTCTTTAGAAGAAAAGATTGTCATATGGCATCTCATATGCTCCAAGCCAGAGAGAACAACAGATATTCATCTCTCAGATTCATCTACACAAGTTTGTGAATCAAATGAGCCTGTTGGGCCCATAGAGAGGAATCAGGGTGACTTCAGCGGCCCAGACATGTTTGTTATTTTTTTCAGGAGATAAAGCACCCAAGAGGATTGTTAGACCTGTCAGAAAAATATAACCCAGAATCACACAGAAATCTCAAATCTGAACTTTTAGGAGTTTAATTGGTAACACATGGTTAAGAGCCAGCTTCCAAACACACTTAAGATTACAGAAGAGAAAGGATCTAGAGATGTACGTGACATCTGAGATAGGCCAACTGCGATCTTGCAGTAGGGTGACCCACTGTCCCAGTTTGCCTATGATTGAGGGGTTTCCCAGGCCATAGGACTTTCAGTGCTAATGATAGGAAGGTATTCAGCCTTAGCCTTGACCCCACACCTAATCCACTCCCCAGTTATTTATCTGGGCAACATTGGCCTCTCCTATAAGGAGTCAGGCCTGAGATTTAGGAGATCTAGAACTTGGTACTAACTGTTCAGCCCCATGAGCCTCAGTTTTTGCAGATTAAAATAGGAGTAATCCCTGCCCTTAACCACCTCCTAGATATTTGGACTCCTCAAAACATTTTCATAAACCCATGAGGAAGACTGCTGTGATCCTAAGAACCTCTTTCTATACAACATTGCCCTTGACTGTGTTTAAAAATAGGCCCCATGGTTTCAAATTTTAAATTTTAAATATTTAATTTAAAATGTTTTAAATTTAATTTTAAAATTTAAAATTTAAAAACAAGGCCGGGCATGGTGGCTCACACCTGCAATCCCTGCATTTTGGGAGGCTGAGGTGGGTGGATCACCTGAGGTCAGCAGTTCGAAACCAGCCTGGCCAAAATGATGAAACCCCGTATCTACTGAAAATACAAAAAGGTAGCCGGGCGTGGTGGCAGGCACCTGTAATCCCAGCTACTCAGGAGGCTGAGCCAGGATAATCGCTTGAACCCAAGAGGCAGAGGTTGCAGTGAGCCGAGATCACGCCACTGCACTCCAGCCTGGGCAACAAGAACGAAACTCTGTCTTAAAAGAAAAAAAAAAAAAAGCCAGGCATGGTAGCTCACGCCTGTAATCCCAGCACTTTGGGAGGCCAAGGTGGGCAGATCATCTGAGGTCAGAAATTTGAGACCAGCCTAAACAACATGGTGAAACTCTGTCTCTACTAAAAATTCAAAAATTAGCTGGGCGTGGTGGTGCACACCTGTGATCCCAGCTACTTGGGAGGCTGACGCACGAAAATTGCTTGAACCCGAGAGATGGAGGTTGCAGGGAGCTGAAATTGCACCACTGCCCTCCGGCCCAGGTAACTGAATGAGATTCCATCTCAAAAAAAAAAAAAAAAAAAAGACAAAAAGCAGACAATGCTAACACAGACAAGCAAAGCAATTAGAAAGATTTAGATAAATAGTTTGAGCTATTTAAAAAAAAAAAGAAGAAGAAGAAGTACTTTTTAAAACTGCTTCCCAGACTTCAGTTGTATTCACAACTCTAGTCTAGACCCAACCAGTGCTACAGCATTAAGAAACCACACACACACACACACAAAAAAAAACCCATCATTTGGTATTTTTTTAAATGATGATGATTGGTACTCCAAGAGACACAGGTAGCGGAGACATCACTGTGTAAGAAATTGCGAAAGAAGTCCAGGCAATTCCAGTTTTCTAGTATCAGTAAAAACAATCCTCGTCTCTTGCTCAGCATTTTCCCCAGAAGCATCTGAGTCAGCCCTTTGGTCCTCCAGAGGTCTGGCTTTGTTCTGGTGCTCACATTCTGAGGTTCAGAGATAGGTATCCCAATGGGAAGGGTCTGCATTCAAGCAATGAGACAAGCTTTCTAAATAAACACTCTTTATACCCTCTGATGCCTCTTTCATTTCCTCTGCCTCCCAAATTTTCTCTCTAGGATAAAATGCATTCAATCTTTTTAAATAAAGAACATCTGCTTAACCCTGCCCAAAAGAAACTTCCACTGCCCTATTTATTTTAATAGCCATGTGATCTACCAATGAACACGAACAGCAGAAATTAAACAGAGGAAATCTCTCCCCAGTCATGCTTTATCCATTAAGCATGTGTGAATCTGTGATGATCTCGGCTTTCCTTGTGCACAATGACTAATTGAGTTTGAGACAGTGGCTGTCACAAGCTGAAAAAGGCATGATTTATGCTATGGAAATTTTTAGTTTCTGACATCTTCAGCTTTATAGGGAATAAAAGAAGTCATTACTGTATCAGGATTGTGACAACAGGCAGTTTCTAACAATGGAATTACCCGCCTACAGCTAGCCAGTCTATTAATTGAAAGCATCGAGTTTCTATCTTTGCTTTCACCTGCTGCTCCTGGGCAGATGATCCTGCAGATTTTCCATTTGCATTTATTTCAGCTGCACCATTTATTACATTCCCGTTTATCCTTCCCTGAGATCTTATTGACGCTGCCACTGGGAACCATGGCAATAAGTGATAGCTTCAGTGAAGAACCAGCTGCCAGACCTGGCCCACTGTTCAGATGATGTATGCCCCATCCTGGCCCCTCTCTGAAGCAGCTACTCAGGAACATCCTGGTTACCCACAGAGGAATCACATTTCCAGCCCATAACTTGATTACCATTGCTTTCACTTGAGACTGCAAAATGGCAGTAGGTGAATGAAAATTTCTGGCTGATGTGTGTGAACTGGGTGCGTAATATTGCCCTCTTGAAAAAATAAAACAAACACAGAAGGATAGAAGGACAGAGTTGGGGAGGTAAGACAGACTTAATTGTTTTAATAAACGCAGGGTGCACAAGTCAGAACTGAATCTATGTCAACCTGTAAGCCTTAAAAATAGCAATAACATTTAAATGCTGAATTCTGGTGACTACACATTTGCTTGACTGCTTTATCACAGGGATGATGTAATCAACCAGCAAGGTCTGAGACCCTGGCATGGATCACAATGCAGAGACATCTGCCTTTTTGTGACATTGCTTCCTTGGATCTTTTGCTTCCCCTGGAAATTGTCTCTGATGGATCCAAGAATATCATCACAGTGCTTGCATCTGCAGTTTCCTCTAAGCTCCATTGCTCTCCTACAATCAGTCCTGCCTCAGGTAACATTGACAGAGCACCCTCTTGTCAGCTTACCCTCCTGCTCCTCCAGTCCATCTCATGGTCCTGCCCTTCTCCACTCCCTGCCTGAGTTGTTGCTCACAGTCCAGAACACTGACTCGTGCAAGGTCTTCTGATAACACGCTATTAGAAAGGCCTTCAGTGATATGCATGGAAATGGAGGCAAAATGCCCCCAAGGGTTTAGATCCCCAGGAGTGAGGAATTCAAAGTACAGGTATTCACATCTCAGGGGAACCATGGGCAACACAGCAATTTTGATCTCACCTCCCCTCTCTTTCATGTTCTACCCTGCCTGTCCCTCATTGGGGGTTCAATATCTTCCAACTTTCTACACAATTCTGCAGCCCCTCTCAATATTGTTTGCTTCCCCATGAAGGGGCTCATTCTTTTCTCTTTCCCCAACAACCTGGCTCAGGACATCCACCAGCAAGAATCATGCAGAGAGCAGGCTGTGGCTCTGAGCTATAAGAGATAGAAACTCAACTCAAATGCAAAAGGAATTTGCATAAATGAGAAGTTGAAGAGGCAAACCAACTCCAGGAATAGCTGGATCCAGGGGCTTAACGGTGTCTTCAGAAATCCCTCAATTTCTCAGCTCTGCCTTTCTGGTCTCGGCTTCATTTTAAGGTACACTCTTCCTATGTGATGGCAAAGAGAACCACCAGCAGCTCTAGGTTTACCTAATCCTTACAGCTTGTGGTTCTAGTGAAACAAGCAGATCCATTTTCCCAATAATTCCAATAAAAATCTCAGGGCAGGCTCCGGTTGGCCTAACTTAATCATGTATCCTCTCTGAAACATTTGCTATACCCAGGTGGACTGTGTATTCTAATTAGTTAGCCTTGGGTCATATATCTACCCTAAAACACATGGGATGGGCTCCCTGCTGAAACAGGGGTTGTATGACTAGGAGAAGGAAGATTAAGGGACATGCTGGACAAACATAACTATGGTTATAATAACAGTCCACTACACAGATTAAAATGCCTCTGCCCAGATTAGTAGGTCTGAGAAATTTCCAGCATTAGTAACAAGAAAGTAGGAATCAGGAATTATTCTTATCATGTTTCTTACACGTGGCTATTGAACTCCCTCAAAATATAATGTGTGGAATATTCATATCAGAATTATCCCTGCTAAGGCAACATTCCTTAAAACAATGGTGTTCAAATTTGATTTTAAGCACCAGGACTTTCCTCAAATAAATTGTATGTAAAATTCCAATACATAAAATGGATAAAAGTGAGTGGTTCTATTGACAGCTGAGAGCTGGAGGTTATGAAGAGTAGAGGGGCAGACACAGACATGGGAACTCAGCCCTGTCTCATTTGCTGGCCCCTCGGGTAACATCCCTGGAACCCCTGGGGCTTCTGAAAGTTAAGTTTCCACATATGAATTTTCGGGGGACAAAGACATTTAGTCCATAACATTTATCATGTACTTATATTAGAGATTTAATAAGCAGTATAAAGTCCAAATAGTTCACTATATACTGTGTTTGTTCTCAACTATCCTTTTTAATGTTTACATAAGTTTTTGAATCAAATGAACCTCTACAGAAAAAAAAAGTATCTACAATACAGAAGTGGTCCTAACAAAACTACCTTTAAAAAGACAACCCAATACAAGAATGAGCAAAGGCTGTGAATTGACAATTCACAAAAAAAGAACTCAAAATTGCCATTGCAGTGAAGGTATGCTCAGCCTTACTAGCAGTGAAGGAAATGCCAATGAAAGTAACAGTGGAAAACTGATTGTGCCCATCATAAACATATCCATTATAAAGAATTATTTAAAGGGCTGGGCGTGGTGCTTCATGCCTATAATCCCAGCACTTTGGGAGGCCGAGGTGGGCAGATCACGAGGTCAGGAGATCAAGACCATCCTGGCTAACACAGTGAAACCTCGTCTCTACTAAAAATACAAAAATTTAGCCGGGCATGGTGGTGGGCGCCTGTAGTCCCAGCTACTCGGGAGGCTGAGGCAGGAGAATGGTGTGAACCTGGGAGGCGGAGCTTGCAGTGAGCTCAGATTGCACCACTGCACTCCAGCCTGGGCGACAGAGCGAGACGCTATCTCAAAAAAAAAAAAAAAAAAAAAAAAAAAAAAAGAACTATGTAAAATGTAAACACTTACAGAGTGACAATACTCAGTGCTGACAGGCATATGGAGAAAAAAGCACTATTAATCATTACTTGAACAATGTGAATTAAGACTTTTTAATAAAGAAATTCAGTAATGTCAAAATTTTAAATGTACATATCCTTTGATCTAGCCATCTTATATCTGGGAATAAAGTCACCAGTAGCTAAGGATATATGTACAAAAATGTTTGTTGCTATATTATTTGTAATAGTAAAACAAAGCAAACCAAAAAAATAAATAATGGAACTAATCTGAACACCTATTGGTAGGAAATGGTTGGATAAATTTTGGCATATCCATACTATGGATATTATGTAGCTATATTAAAGAATTAATTAGTTATATGGTAGTTCAGCAGAGGGGTGGAGTCCTAATTAGGGAAAGGAAGTCAGGCTGGTGGGAGCAGGAGAAAGTGAAAAGAAAAAGCAGGTAAGCTGTGAGTCTGCCTTTCTTCATGGTCCAGAACACATAGCCCTCCTGCGCAAATAACACAATCTTCCTGCGCCCAGCTATCACCAGAGCCTTCACTGATAGACAAATGCAAGTTAGCTCACCGCAATCTTGACATTATCAGGACTTCACAAAGCCCTCTTTAGCACATAGCACAAGCACCATTCTATAAAATCCCCAGCAAGCCTTTGTCTCTTTGCAGTTAGCTCCTCTCTTGCTAACTTGCCCGTTGCTTCCTTGCAATGTATTTTCATACTTTCTCTAATAAATTTGCCTTTGTCTACAACGGCTTGGTAAATTCTTCTTACCGCCCTCATGATACCAGCTTAAGATAGTCACTGCTCACCCACAACAGGGCCTTTGGAAAGTACTTATGTCATGAGGATGAGGCTCTCATGAATGAGTTTAGAGACTCCAGAGAACTCCCTGAAACCCCTGTGCCTTGTGAGGACACAGTGAGAAGATGGCTGTCTGCAACCTGGAAGAGGGTCCTCACTACAACCTGATCATGTTGGCACCCTGATCCTGGATTCCCAGCCTCCAGAACTGTGAGAAATAAATTTTTGTTGCTTATAAGCCACCAGTCTCTGGTTACTTAACAGCCTTAACTGACTAAGGCAACTGTGAACTAACAATAATATTTAGACATCTCTGCTTTGTGGTTCAGGAGATAACTACCAACTCCTTGCAGGAAGAGTCCTGATAAATCCTTAGGTAGAAGCACCACTGGGTGGTGGGTAGGGCATTGTTCCAGCACCAATCCCTGGGGAGCTGTGTTCATACCATGTCTCTGACTGACGTACTTTCATCTTACTCTCAGGAATCACAGAAAATGTGTGAGGAAAAAGCTTAGAGAAGATTGGGCACGGTGGCTGACGCCTGTAATCCCAACACTTTGGGAGGCTGAGGTGGGTGGATCACCTAAGGTCAGGAGTTCGAGACCAGCCTGGCCAACATGGTGAAACCCCATCTCTACTAAAAAATGCAAAAACTAGCTGGGCATGGTGGCATGCGCTGGTAATCCCAGCTACTCGGTAGGGTGAGGCATGAGAATCGCTTGAACCCAGGAGGCAGAGGTTGCAGTGAGCCAAGGAAAAAAAGAAAAGCTAAAAGAAAGTTCATGACCCAAGGTCCAGTGATCTGTAAGTTTATTCAGCGGCAACTTGGCCAAGAGCTGGGGCAAGGCACAAGAGAACATTTAACATACTTGTCTGTCACACATAAAATGGACATTCCAGCATGGCATTGATCTATCGATGGAAATGTTAAGATTTTTCAGTCAGCAGAGACATACAACAGACTCTAACTCTGGAAGCTCAGAAACATTACTATACTTTTCCTTTGATAAGGGAACCAACAAGTGTTCAGTACTTACAACTTGCCAGGTCTCGACCTAGATCTTTAACCTTCCTTCTTATTAATTCTCCTCACAGCCTTGTAAGTAGCAATTATCACACCAACTCAGTTGAGAAACTGAGTCTCCGAAGGGTTAAGTAGCCTTTCCCAAAGCCACACACCTGGGTATGTAAGTTGTAAAGTTAAATTCTAACTGAGGTCTGCTTATTCCTAAGCCAATGCTCTTACCTGTGTTCCATTAGAAGCTCCACACACAGGATATAGTATTAATTGAAAAGAAGTAGGACACAAAATTGCATATGCCTAATATGATACTGCCTATTTTAAAACATAAATGCATAATTAAAAAAGAGAATATATGAAAGCATTAATAGATCATCTAGGTTGGTGAGACTATAACAGTTATGATAATAATAGCTAAAATCTAAGTGCTTACTGCATTCAGGCACTAAGGACATTAAGTAAGTTCTCTCATTAAATCCTCAGAACAATCACTTGGGGGTAGCTATGATTATTTTTCTCCATTTTACAGAAGAGGAAATAGTAAATGACTTGTGCAAAGTCACACAGCTTATGAGTTCTGGGTTCAAACTCAATCTCCAAATACCTTGCTCATAACAATACACTCTAGTACTTTTCACAAATAAATGGACATGGACTTATTTTTTAATCAGACAACAAATTAATGATTAAAATAAAATCAAACCCAAAACCAAATTTTCTTCCATGTATGGTTATTCAGCAGGACATGGGAGCCTCTTGGGCTGGCCCTTTGTCCACCATAAAAGGTTAATCTGGACTGTGAGGCTGTTCATCCTCCCGCTAGCCAGTGCCTTCAAGGACACACTGCCCTGCAGTCATTGTCCCTAACCAGAAGAGGCACCCTCTTTCATTTCATGGTAGTTCAGCTCATGCCCACCCTGGGTACACTTGCTGGGTGTTCTGCCTCAGAACCAGGTCTGTAAGAAAGGGACCCAACCACTGTTGGTTTGACCTAATCTTCCTATTTTCCAAGACTCTGACTTTTTTCCATCCCCATCTTGCTACCAAGTCTCTGGTTTACCTAGAGGCAGAACCTACAATGCTCACTTTTAAGTAGCCTTCTAAGGATGGGCTGTGAAGGTGCACAAATCACAGCCACAGCTTAAAAAATGAGCAGAAAACAAGGCAAAGTTGACCGGCAGCTCAGATCCTCCCTGCCTTCTGAACTCAAGACTATACCCTGACAAATGCCCCAGCACCTCCTGGCTCTGTCAAGTTCCCTGTAATGTGTCTTCTCCAATAGCAGGTGGCGGGTAAGTGATCCACAGTAACTGCCTCCTCCCTTGTTCCATCCTTGACAACAGCAATCCTCAGTGTCTTCAACTGAACACCAAGCTAACTGTGCCTCCCTGACACACTCAGTGGTGTCCCTTAAGCTAAGCAACCCTGAGAATAGAACCTCTGCATCCAAGGTGGAGTGGGGCTGACACCCACTCTGCCAGCCTGCTCAGTGGGCCCAGTTGTTTCCGGCCTGCAGCTTCCTTCTCATGGGAACTTGTCAGTCCATCTAGATCCTAGGTGTGGCCATCTGGGTGTCTGGGTGTCAGAGTTGGCCAGTCCGGAGAAGCCTACGTAAATTTAAAACCTATGAATTCTCGTCTTCGGTGACTATGAACTCTCTCTGGCTTGTTTCGGGGAAGCAGAGTGTACAATCCCCAAACAGTTTTCCTTACAACAGTAGTGTCTGTTGGGATGCTAGTATGTTAAAAAGTGGGGAAAAGTTAGCTGGGCACGGTGGCTCGCGGCTGTAATCCCAGCACTTTGGGAGGCCGAGGCAGGTGGATCACGAGGTCAGGAGATCACGACCATCCTGGCTAATACGGTGAAACCCCATCTCTACTAAAAATACAAAAAATTAGCCGGGCGTGGTGGCGGGCGCCTGTAGTCCCAGCTACTCGGGAGGCTGAGGCAGGAGAATCGCTTGAACCCTGGAGGCAGAACTTGCAGTCAGCTGAGATCGTGCCACTGCACTCCAGCCTGGGCGACAGAGCCAGACTCCATCTCAAAAAAAAAAAAAAAAAAAGTGGGGAAAAGAGTCTGTTATTAAACGAGTTTGGAAAACTCTGCCTCCATGACTTTTATTGAAGAGTCACAGTTCACATTACAATCTCCTAGGTCTATGAAGTCCTGCAGTAAAGAAACCTGCTTACCCGGGCTTCATCTAGTGACACCCAAACTTCCTTGGTTATACAGCTCACCCCTTTCTCCCCCAGAACATCTGTGGACCTCATGTTGGACATGCTGTTGACAGAATCTAGTTGGGAAAATCTCGAAGGCCTGAAAATGAGGAGGCCAGGGTGATCGTCCAGGTACGCCTCTGGCCAGCTTCTCTTCAGTCCCTTCTCCAAACCTCAGTTTCTTCATCTGTAAAATGGGAGTTAGATCAAGTTAATTTTCAAGCTACTCCTGAAGGAACCCAACGGTGTCCATGAATCTGCCTTAGAAACTTCCTCAAGGGATAAAGGGGAGAAGAGGATCAGCTTGAAGCTTTCCAGACCCCTCACCTCCAACCAGCATAGCAAAGTTCCTTGTAAGAGGTCCTTTAAAAAATTTCTTTTGGAAGGGAAGGAGGAGGGAAAGGGATGGAAGAAAGGAAGAGTAATGTGTTCCCCTGAGACTGTTACCGCACCCCTGCCTGACACTCCCCGTTTGGACATCAACGTAACCACCCACACACCCCTGCCCACGACTCCTGCCGTCCAAAGGCTGGATGCGACACTAACATTCTAATACCACAACCAAATCACTAATTCTCAAAGTGAAACATGTGGACTCCCCAGCTGCTTATTAGAATTCAATCCTGGGCTCTTAGACCTACTGAATCAGAATTAGGGGTCAGCAGGAGCTGACAATCTAAAGTTTAACAAAGGCCCCAGGTGATTCTTAGGTACTCTGAAATTTGAGATCCACTGCCCAGATTTTAGGAGCTGGGAAATTTCCATCACACTAGGCAACTGACTCCCTCCTCCTCTGGAAAGGGTTACTCCTCTGTCAGAGTGGTAGAGTGCAGGGACATCCCCTACTACAGATGGTGCGTGGGCGCAAAGCAAATCTCACAAGCATGCCCAGGAAAACTAAGACCTGGAGACAAGGGTCCAAAACTGATTGTTAGAAAAGGGAAGTCTGGGCTGGGCGCGGTGGCTCACGCCTGTAATCCCAGCACTTTGGGAGACCGAGGCGGGTGGATCACGAGGTCAGGAGACCGAGACCATCCTGGCTAACACGGTGAAACCCCGTCTCTACTAAAAATACAAAAAATTAGCCGGGCATGGTGGCGGGCGCCTGTAGTCCCAGCTACTCGGGAAGCTGAGGCATGAGAATGGCGTGAACCCAGGAGGCGGAGCTTGCAGTAAGCCAAGATCACTCCAGCCTGGGCGACAGAGCAAGACTCCGTCTCAAACAAAAAAATGGGGAAGTCTGCAGTGAACATAGGAAGCTAAGGTGCTACAGCAAAGGGAGCTGGAGCTGGAGAATGAAACGCAAACTATGGAGAGCCCCAATGGCCAAAACTAGAGAAAGTCTGTGCGCATTCCAAAGACACAGGTCAATGCTGGGCTGGGTGTTGTCTTGCTTTTTTTGTAACTTGCTCTGGCTGGGTATTTATGTGTTACTAGCTTATGTTTGCAGAGGCAGAACAAATCTGTTAGATGTCAGGAAGGCGGCAGATGTAGGTAACCCGCACTTTCTAGAATTAGAAATAAATAATTGTTTTCCTTCTTTACGCCTCCCCCCACAAAAGCAAATTTCACCTTGGAAAATACAAGCGGTTTTTTGGGATGATTCCTCTGTCATCCCCAAGCCTCACCATAGAGTTTTGAGGTGGGCAGCCCTAAGAACACCCCACAGGGACACTGGGACTTGCAATCTGATTTTCAAGTCAGCACAGGGCTGCTAATTCCTCCCCTGTCTCTGAATACTAAAAAGTCTCCTGCTTAACACTTAAACAGTGTAGCATCTTAAGAGGAAATCTTTTCTCTGTCCTTCTGAAAGCTAAACAACAGCAGTCCGATGGAATCCAGTTAACAAAGAACAGTTTAAGAGCCTTTCTGGGTTCTTGATCTTGTGCCTGAGCTGAAGGAAAATCAAGATGAAATAACCAAGGAGAGTCTCTAAATCCTAGCCTCCGATTTCTCTCCAAAAACCCTAAGCAGCAGATTCTGTCTTCACCTCCTTAGTGATGTCAGTGGCCTCAGATTTCTGTCACTCCTTCCTCTGTCACATAAAGCACGTTACTAAGACAGCTGGCAGTGGCATCAGACATACCTGGTGTTGGATCCCGGCCCTGCAGCTCACTCAGCAGATGAGGTCACTTTCAAAATGGAGGGTTGGTAAGCATTAGTGGGGCTTGATAAGCATCCTCATTTGCATGGGGCCAATAATAAGTTACCACATAAGATCGTTACGAGGATTCAGTGAAGCAGTGACTAAGCAGTCCTTAGACCTGGGCTTTGTCCACATTCATCTTTTTATTGTAATTTTTATTACATGCCACAGTCCTCTAACAAGGCACTTCCAAATTCATATAACAGATAGAGTGCAAAACCCTCCTAGATGGTCAGAATTTGCTGAACTGAATTGAAGGACTAGGAGAAGGCAAAGAACCTGCATGAAGTGAAATGCAGGAACTCACATTGCCGTATAAATTAAGGACAGTGTGGATTTGAAAGGAGATTAGGTTGTTGCTTCTTGTTTATTCTACTGGAACGTGTAACACAAAGTAAAAGAAAAAGAAAAAAATCAACCAATTTTCCTCATTAACAGGAAAAAGTACATACAGAATTCCAGGATAGATACTAGAAGGAAATACAGAAAGGAAGCAGAAAAAGGCACTCACTTGTACTTCCTTCCCAGGGAGGGATGAGCCGTTTTCGAACATCCTCAGGTCACAATCTCACTCCTTATACTTCTCTTTGTCCTGCCAATCTCCTTTGTCAGAAAGCTTCAGGTTCTGAAAGTTTAATGTACCTCAAAATCACCTGGAGGGCCTGTTAAAACACAGGATTTCTGGGCCCCACCCACAGTTCTGACTCAGGAGGTCAGGAGAGGAGCTTGAAAATTTGCATTTTTCCTACTAAATTCCTGGTGCTGCTGCTGCTGGCCCAGGACTTCATTTTGAGCAGCGCTGGTCTAACTCCACCCCTTATGAGTTACTTAACCTTTTTTTGAGCTTCAGGCACCTCATATATAAACTGGAGATAAGAACGCCTACCTCTTAGAATTCTTGTGAGGATTAAATGGGTTACTCCTCATAAAGTGATTAAAATGATCTCTTGCATTCATGAATCCCTCGATAAATGTGGCCTATAAAAGCCATAATCCCAGAGAAGGGGCTGCAACAAGGATGCACTTTGCGGTAAATTCCTCCATGCTTGCTTATGGAACTCGTATGGCCCCTCGTAAGATTGTTGAGAAACACAGAAACAATGCATGTAAATTGTTTAGGATTCCTGGCAATAAAAGGCTCCAAAAAAAATTCTAGTTGTTTTTCTTAGTACAGCTTGGAAGGATGTGGTAATGAGCTCAAAAAGGTACTCTCGCTCTATATCCCATAACTCATAAGGAGCAAGACTGGGATTTGAACCTTCTAAGCCATTTGACGGCAAAACCCATCCTCTTTACCACCCCAAACATAGCAAATATATTTCATCTTCCAATCATCCCATCCAGTAACAGCTGTCTAGAGCACAAGCTTCTGACACATAAATATTCTGGCTCAAAGGGAAGGATTGTTGGAATTGATTAGAAATGTTTAGCTGCTAGAGACAAGAGTGTCAAAACAGAAAACAGATATTTGCTGCCCCTGCACTTTGCTATAGCAACACAGATGGTGGTAAGGGTTTCCTAATTTTACTGAAGATTATATGTAAATATACACAAATCAGGTGAATGCTCCCAGGAGTTGCTAATGATTTCAGATCTGCGGTCCGGCTTCCCTCCCCCACTGTAATCTAATTTTGCGTGGTATTTCAGTGTACACAAGTGAAGACAAATAGTTATATGACTAAGCCACATCTGTAGGTGATCCAAAACCATTTCTCTTTGGTTTTAGAGTTCCAGCAGGACTACAATGCTTTAAAACTGTCACTAGATATCTGGCATGATTGATAGATATTCTAGCAAGCTTCTGGACAGTATAGATTTAAAAAGGTAAGAGATATTCCATCTTCAAGTAAAACCTGAAAAACAAAGCTTCATCCATCTGGAGAGGACTCCTGATTGTGTGAAGGTATTTTCTAATTCCCTTAAGCCAATAGTTCTCAAACTTCAATGCACAAGAAAATTGACATGAGGAAATGTGTTTTAAAAAGCAGATTACTAGGTCCCCACCTGAGAGATTCTAATCCAAAGAGTCAGAGATGGAGTGGGGTAATCTGCATTTTAAAAAGAAAACACCAGGGTTTCAGACTATACCTGGGAAGCCCTGCCTTAGGCAAAGTTACAGAATAGCCATTCCTCCTGCTTTTCAGTAGGAGGAAACCTCTTCTACTCAAAAAATTTGGCCCAACAATCCCATTATTGGGTATATACCCAAAGGAATATAAATCATTCTGCCATAAAGACACAAGCTCATGATGTTCATTGCAGCAGTATTCACAATAGCAAAGACATGGAATCAATCTAAATGCCCATCAGTGACAGATTGGATAAAGAAAATGTGGTACATATACATCACGGAATACTATGCAGCCGTAAAAAAAGAACAAAATCATGTTTTTTGTGGGAATGTGAATGGAGCTGGAGACCGTTATCCTTAGCAAACTAACAAAGGAACAGAAAATTAAATATCACATGTTCTCACTTATAAGTGGGAGCTAAGTGATGAGAACTCATGGACACAAAGAGAACAACAGACATGGCGGCCTACTTGAGGGTGGAAGATAAAAGTGGGGAGAGGATAAAAAAATAAGTATTGAGTACTAGGCTTGGTAACTGGGTGATGAAATAATCTGTACAACAAACCCCTGCGACATGAGTTTACCTATGTAACAAACCTGCACATGTAACCCTGAACCTAAAATAAAAGATAAAAAATAAATTTCTCAGACAGTGGTTGAGAAAACATAGGATGGCAAAAAACTGCAATGAATGTTGTAATGGTTATAGATAAATGTGTATTTTACTTACCACAATAGTGTGTATACTTTTATTTGGGAAACCCATAGTAGAAACTCCCTGTAAGAGACAGTGTTTAATCTGTCTATATATAAAACTCAGTGCACAAATGGATTCGAAATCTTTTTCAGATAATTCTGAAACTTTTCCTCCACACCATCATTCACCTGAGGGGTAGAGGAAAAGGTAAGTCATATCCATCAAACACTTCCTATGTGGGAGCAGTGGACTCATATTGACTGCTCTACATAGGATTATTCACTTAAAACCAGGAATGCAATGCTTTTGAGCTAGGAGGTGGAAATTCCACTCCAGAGGTGGGGCTCAGACATCAGACCAAATTGAGGACTAGCTAAAACACAGATGGGGCAGAAGCAGCTTTCTGTAAGATAGGCCCACCAGTGTGCCATGTCAGGTTACCATTGCCATGCCAACTGGGAATTCCTGCCCCTTTCCATGGCAATGACCTGAGACCCAGAAGTTACAACCCCTTCCCTAGAAATTTGTGCATAAACTGCCCCTAAATCTGCATGTAATTAAAAGTAGGTATAAATATGACTGTAGAACGGCCCTGAGCTGCTACCCTCTGCCAACTAGGTAGGCCTGCTCTACAGGAGTAGTCATGGAGCTATCACACTTCTAGAGCTGTAACACTGCTGCTTCAATAAAGCTATTTTCTTCTATCTCTGGCTTGCCCTTGAATTTGTTTCCTGGGCAAAGCCAAGAACCCTCATGGGCTAAACCCATTTTGGGGCTCACCTGCCCTGCATCACTTTCTTCCATCATCTGTACCAACAGAGTACAAATTCAAATTTGATTAATTCTCATTTTACTATAAATGAGATGTCTTATATTGTCATTCCGGTTTTTATGCTTTTGGTGGCTAAAACTCACATTTGTAAGTAACACTGAATTAAAAAAAACGTGTTCAGTATCTACTGTGAGCAAAGCATTTTGCTAAATACCACAAAGACCTCATCAAAATTGGTTTGGGTTTCAATGCAGGAGATTCTTATTAAAGAGGTATTTGCTTGGACACTTTTGGTTGGTGCCTATTCTATTTTCTAAATTCAAAACTTCTCAACTTTAGAAACAGAAACTGTTCTTCCTCAATAAAGAGTTACTGGGTTCTTTGTTTTTTCAAGACACAGTTTTACTCTGTTGCCCAGGCTCGAGTACAGTGGCACAACCTCGGCTCACTGCAACTTCTACCTGGGTTCAAGCGATTCTCCTGTCTCAGCCTCCGAGTAGCTGGGATTACAGGCACATGCCACCACACCCGGCTAATTTTTGTATTTTTAGTAGAGACAGGGTTTCACCATTTTGGTCTGGCTGCTCTCGAACTCCTGACCTTAAGTGATCGGCCCACCTGGGCCTTCCAAAGTGCTGGGATTACAGTCGTGAGCCACTGTGCCTAGCTAAGAATTACTGGGTTCTAACAGATGTGGATTAAATAAGATTATAAACCCAATTGCTTTTTGTGTAAACTCACATTCAAATTAGCTTGAGTTCCCTGATAAACCTCTGAGTAGATGATGGGAGATACTGGTCTAGAATTCAACATTTGCGCCGAAAATCTACAATGCACATGTGGACAATAAGGAAAAAAATGAATGCATGGAAAAGACAAAGGAAAAGACACCACAATTATCAATAAACAGGGAGCGTTGTTCAGCAACTCAAGTCTTGCCTGGCACTGAAGAACTGGCTTGACTTTACCATGGATTTGATGTTTTCATACATAGTAACAATAAGGACTTGGACAGACAAAAGCCCCAACTTACCAACACAAGGACGAAAGCACTCAGAAAGTGGCTTAACCCACTCAGTTCTGATCGTTTCTAGCTGGGTAATGCTCAGCTTTAAAACCATCAGGCTCATAGATGATGGACTTGTAGTTCATTAAGAAATGTTTGGAAGGGGATGAGAGAGGAGAAAATGAGAGCTGCTTCACTGGGAAAACTTTTTTTAATGCTATTTGTCTTCATGACACCAAGGAGAAGTACAAGGAGATTCAGCAGCTGCATTTAGTTTGTAATGACCATTCATTTCTGTTGATCTCTGACCTTGCTGTTTTCAATCACACAGACACGGAAGCTCGCAGCTCCACCAGGAGATGTTTCAGGAGGCAGTTTTCCTTTGTAGTGTGGTGAGAGGGAAAGAGGTTGAAAATAAAATCTCTCCAGCAAGACAGATTGCTCATGTGCTTTAGCTGACAAAGGGTTAACAGAACTTCAGGTCCAGTTTCCTGCTCAGCTGTTTAATTGCTGCAGGCCAGGGAAATATTTGAGAGAGAGGGCTGTTACCAGGGGTCTCATTTTTCAAAGACCTGTCAGAAAGCTAGTCCACTGAATGAGTTTATACAGAAACCAGGAATTGAGTCTGTTTCCCAAATTCGAATGACCTGGACCCTATTGACTTATCCCTCAGCAGGAATTATCTAGTTGTTGGCTACCACGGTCCTCTCATTTGTTAATAGATTGTTTCTCAAAATAAGCATACCATATACAAGGGGTGTGTGGTGTGGAGAGTGTGTGTACATTATTTTAAAGCAGGGCTTCCCCAACTTGAGTATGCATCTGAATCACCTGGAGGGTTTGTTAAACCATAGATTGCTAAATCTGCTGTTACATTCTGTTTTAGTAGATCTGAGTGGGGTCTGGGAATTTGCATTTCTGACAATTTACAGGTGATGCTGAGCCTGCTAGTCTGAACACTACTTTGTGAGAACTACTGTCCTAAAATATACTTACCACTGTCATCTTTCTGCTTTAATAAATATACTCAAGCGTGCACCAACATAACAAATTTTTTATGTTCTAAAAATGCCAATATATTACTGTTATTAACATCTACTTTGAGTGCCTATTGGACACCAGTGCTATCAACCCTCTGAGGCAGGCATTATTGCCCAATTAAAAGCTGGTCCAGCCCAAATCTGACTCCTACGCCCATGCTCTTAACTACTTTACTACATTCCTAACACATAATAAAACAACCAGTCAAAATTAACCAACCTACAAGTATTTTTAATCAATGTCCCATCTCTATCCTAATAAAATATATACTTGCACTAACTCTCAGTGGAAGAGTATAACCTTTCTCCTTATGGTACTTAGAACCAAAAAAAAAAAAAAAGGAATATATAAGGAATATAGCAAAATCAAGTAACCAACAAATGTATCCTGAGTTATCCCTGGATGCCTGAGGACCACAGGACAAGCCAGCTCCCTGACCCAGTAAACCCGAAACAATCAAAGAATAGTCTAAGATCATTGTGAGTGTCAAATATGAACACCATAAGATATTTTGTATGGTCTTGACAAATAGGAATAGGTGGAAGAGGTAACATGGCACCAAAATAACAATCTAGAGCATTGGTTCTCAAGCTTTAGCAAGCACCAGAGTTACCTGGAGGCTTGCTGAAGCACACATAGCTGCCTCCCAGTTTCTGATTTAGCTGGTCTGGGGTGAAGCCCAAGAATGTGCATTTCCAACAATGTCTCTAGCAATGCTAAAGCTGCTCATCCAAGGACCAGGCTTTAAGAACCACTGTTTTAGAACTAGACTTCCCTGATTAACTCAGCCTCTCTGATCCATCTGTCATTCACTGATTCAACAGACATTGCTTGAGTGCCTACTATGTGGGAAGCTTCTTACTAACTCTGAGAATAAAGCAGTAACCCAACTAGACAAAACATTTGCCCCCACAGAACTCACTATTTAGGAGGGGCGATAGGCCAAAAAATTATAAATATGTAGATCTAAGGAAAGACAGAATAAAAGTGAGCAAATGGAAGGATGCTGTTTTAGATAGTGTGATTACCTCTCTGAGGAGCAGAGGCCTAAACAGGGTAATGGAGCAAGCCAATGCAGATATCTGGGTGAAGAGAGTTATAAAGAGGAATTAGCAAGTGCAAAGGCCCTGGGAAGGAAAAATGCTCATTGCGTTCCAGGAAAAGCAAGGAGACTGGTAGCAGGAGAGTGTGCAAGACACCTCCTGGGAGGTGAGATTGAGACTTAAGAGTAATCTGCTTTTTTTTTTTCTTTTGAGACAGAGTTTCACTCTTGTTACCCAGGCTGGAGTGCAATGGCATGATCCTGGCTCACTGCAACCTCCACCTTGAGGGTTCAAGTGATTCTCCTCCCTCAGCCTCCTGAGTAGCTGGGATTACAGGCACCCACGACCACACCAGGCTAGTTTTTTGTATTTTTAGTAGAGATGGGGTTTATCATGTTGGCCAGGCTGGTCTCAAACTCCTGACTTCAGGTGATCCACCCACCTCAGCCTCCCAAAGTGGTGGGATTATAGGCGTGAGCCACCACGCCTGGCTGTAATCTGCATTTTCAAAAAACTCCCCAGGAGATTCCAATTTAGATTTGGGGCTGGGAATAACATCTCAGACGCTCTTATTTCTATAGCTCATCCAACTCTTCTCAATTCTTATCAACACTATTTGGGTGTATGATCTGTGAGTGGACACATCCCTATAGCATACAACAAAGACTGCATCCTCATAGGTTAAAGTTTATTGGACAAGCCCAAAGACTGGGCTTGTCATGGCTCTTACTCAAAGAAATTGTTTCTCTCTCTTAAACAAAAGAGACTGAGCCAAGCTTATATATTGAGTGAGGAAATGAATGAGAAAGGCTGAATCCAGAAAGGAAGGGGCAGCTCTTGGTGACAGACGAGATATGGAAGGCAGGCCGGGCGTGGTGGCTCACGCCTATGATCCCAGCACTTTGGGAGGCAGAGGCGGGCGGATCACCTGAGTTCAGGAATTCAAGACCAGACTGGCCAACCTGGCAAAACCCCCATCTCTACTAAAAATACAAAAAATTAGCCAGGCATGGTGGTGTGTGCCTGTAGTCCCAGCTACTTGGAGGATAAGGCAGGAGAATCATTTGAACCTGGGAGGTGGAGGTTGCAGTGAGCAGAGATCACACCACTGCACTCCAACCTGGGAACAGAGCGAGACTCCATCTAAAACAACAGCAACAACAAAAAAAGATATGGAAGGCAAAGGAAAGAAGAATGGATATGCATGGCCATGAACAGGTTTTTAGAGAAACAATGAAATATACATGAGACAACAATGAGTTGAGTTTCATATATAAGTCTATATGAATCTAACTGAAGTGTGTGTGTGTGTATGTGTGTTGAAGAGTGTGAGATGGCAAGACATGGGGAAAAGGTCATGACTGGAGGCAAACAGGAGGCAAATGAAGCCCCTAAATTAAATAAGTTCCCTGAAAAATAAGTGTGCAGAGTGGAGAATGGAAGACCAGGACTAAGCCCTGGTAGGGAGAGATGTTGAGGGGCCAAAAAAAAAAAAAAGATATAGAATCAACAGCAAAGTACCAGAAACATATGAGACCCTACCAACCTATTACCCCAAATTACTGTTTCTAACAGAGCTTCAGCAAACACAAAATGGGCAAAGGTCAGTTCTCCTGTCTTTCAAATATATGGGTATGTAACTTTACAAAAAAAGAATCTCTTATTATGGGGAACACTTTATCCCATAAATAAGTCAGACTCAATTATTTTGTATCAAAACAATATCTTAGCTTTTAACTAGCACAACTGCCAATACTCAGAGTCACATATTATGAATCACTATTTGCTCCTTCCTATACTTTCTAATTTGCTGCTAAGGAGACAGTGCTGAATGGGGTCATTAATCTGAATTAGAAATACTGTGACCTGCTCTGCACTTTACTTGCTAACACTGTGTGGCAGAGCTGCATCTGTGGGGGTTTTGCTTTCTATACTGCTCTGAGAAACAGTTGAGGCAAGGGAAGATGCTGAACTAGTTTTAATTTTTAAGCCCTTTTTAACTCCAGGTGCCATTTGTGCATCTCATACTGGGCTTTCAAATTCTTGCTATCATTTCACTGTTTCTACCGGAGCTGTTGTCAAATGACAAGCTTTGCTCAGCCCCTGTCTGGAAGTCTAGAAGGCTCACCTTAGAAGTCTAAAATAATGTGCCCCCCTTATTAGAAAAGGAAGATGTGTATTTTTCTGGCCCGATTGACATAGCTTAATGGATGTTCACTGGTCATGCCATGGAGGGAAGAATCTGAATGGAGCAGGAGCACCTGCAAAGCAGTTAGTTCAGTAAGTCTCCCTTTTACCATTGTGTGCTGACTTCAGAGGAAATACAATAAATGACCCTTGGAAAAACATAACTGCAAAGCCTCACTTTATAGCTTTCAGGCATTTATTTCATGTACATTAATTACTTACTATGTGGACTGGGAAAATAAACAGAAAACAGATTTATTAATTTACTTCCTTGTTTAGGACCTGATAAAAATTGTGATGGAATTGTTGGGGCTAATGGGAGTTGAGGATTATCTTCAGAGGTACACCAGCCTTGTTCTACCTTCGACAAAAAGAGGGCCTCTCTTGACCTTCTCTGCCCTACTCTGACCTCTGATTGATCACCACCCTTACTGCTAATAGTACTACTAGTACAAACTAGCTAGAAATAAAAGCAGGTCCCACGAAGTTGGAAAAATCCCCAGTTGGCAGGTCTGTTAGAGTTTGTCCGCAGGTACAGCCCCAGCCTTCTGAGGTTGCCATGCAGGGAAAACGACTGCATTTCCTTAAGTTCATTCTGGAAGACTCTCCCACATTTAGAATGCAGAGCTGAAGGAACTATAGGTCTAAGCTGAGGGTCATTTATTTGTCTGTCCTATCTGCTGGCCTCTGCTACACCATTCTGGAGCCCTCAGAAGCTGGGAGGATTGGGCACTCAAATTTTCTCTATGGCTTGTGCATGAAAATTCTTCTCTTTGTAACTGATCTCCTGTCTCTCCACACCCCGCTTTCATGGTCCTGGGTGGTGTTGTCCTTGAAACAGCTCCACCTACCTGCAGCTTTGCCCAGAACCTCCTGAGCTGGCCAGCATCCCACTGCCCCTTCCACATGCCCCACATCCTCCTCAGTGACCTAGAATTGACTATATGTAGCCAATCACTTTGGAGCATTGGGCTTTGGGGGCTTTGTTGCTGCTCTAGGGCTACCTGAGTAATTTTCAGCGGTCACAAACCCCAGGATCCCTAGTCAGTGTAATTGTAAGTCAATCACTTCCTTCTAATTCTGCTTCCACTTCCCTTTGGGCTGGCAAAATCATTACCATGCTTTCTTTCTCTCCTCAGTCGGGCATTTGTACAGGCCATTTACTTTGCTTCTTATGAATCTTCTCAACTGAATATTATTTGGGAGTGATTTTACTTATTTATTTAACTCAGAACTGCAGAAGGCCCGTCATTGATTTTCCTCCCTTCAACAGCCTAGGGCTGCCTTCTGTTTTTCTAACTGTGAGTACATGGACAGATGATCCCCAGAAGAAACCTTCATGTGGCACAGCCTCGAGGGCCCCCCAACATGTAGCCGTTAGCCTACCAATAGCCTGGCTTGGAGACCCCATGATCCAACAAGGCCAGAGGAAGCAGCACTCTCTCTTCTAAGGAGGCACTGCAGGCAGGGCCAGGAGATAGGGGGATTTGTGTGTATGGGGAAATGTGAAAACCCCTTCCAAAAAGGTCCAAGCCTGCCTCACTACACTAACAAGAAAAAAAATATGAAAGTGCCCCTTGAGTCAGATACAGAAGTTCCATATATAGGATGGTTATTTATTTATTTATGTATTTATTTATTTATTTTACTTTTTGTAGAGATTAGGGTCTTTCTATGTAGCCCAGGCTGGTCTTGAACTCCTGGCCTGAAACAATTCTCCTGCCTCAGCCTCCCAAAATGCTAGGATTACAGGTATGAGTCACTGTACCCAGCCAGGATGGTTATTTATGATAGTAAGTTTTGTTGAGTCAGAATCAAGGAGGCTACTAAATTCCCCTAGGACACTCCCTAAACTCCCATCTTCTCCCTGTTCCATCAGTGATCCCAACACCCAGCACAGCAGAATGTTCACATTAAGGCTTTTCATGTGGTGGTGCAGGGTTCCTGCCTCTGCTTAAACCCAGGCCACAGAGCTCAGAAGCTCTATCCCTGGAATGCCCCCTCTATCTCTGATACTTTAAAATTCCCCTAGTGACATGCATTTCCAACGTTCCAGGATTGCAGACTCCTTTACCTGCAGGCATGGATTAATTTGGAGCCAGGTTCACTGTCCATTCCTGAGCCTATGCACATACTTCTGAAGCCTGCTGCATTTTTAATTATGTAATTAAGCTGCTGTCAGCATTTCCACAACCATTTCTCATCCTCCTTCCTTTAGCATTTTATAACATAGCAGCAATTCCCTAAAGAGGACATCAATATAGGGGCATCATGTGGTGGAAGAGTGTGGTCACAGAGTCGATGGGGCCTGGGTTCAAATCCCAAGGCGGCAACTTACTGGCTGCATGGTCTTGGGCAATTTATTCAATCTCCCTAAATTCTAATGTCTTCTACTTCATGTCATAGTTGTGAAGATTAAATAAGATAATGAAGAGAACTACTTATCCTGGATCTAGAATAGCACTGTTCAATAGATATAGAATGTGAGCCACATATGTGATTTTAAATTTCTATTAGCTACACTTTTTTAAAAAGGAAAAGAAACAGATGACATTAATTTTATTTATATGTTTTATAACCCAACATATCAAAATATTATTTTAACATGTCACCAATATAAAAATATAAATGAGATATTTTAAATTCCTTTTGTCATACTAAATCTTTGAAATCATATGTATTTTATACTTACGGCACATCTCAATGCAGACTAGGCACATGCCAAGTGTTCAACAGCCTCATGCAGATAGTGGCTAAAATATGGGACAGTGAAGGCATAAAACATGGTAGGTATGAAGTAAAGGAAAGTTCCCTTCACTAAGATGCTATCTTTCCATGCTTTGGAGTTTAGGCATATTTGAAAATGAAACACTGAAGTCAGATTTAGCCCCATTGCTAAAAGGCTGCTTTTGAGAGTTTCTGTGATGTTCTCTTTCCGCAGGAAAACCAACAATTTGGTGCCCAGCTACCTATGCTTAGGTAGAGAGTTCTAAGGATGTTCACCTATCCTGCTCTTAGCCAAACAGATGGATGCATGTTCACCTATCCTGCTCTTAGCCAAATAGACAGATGCTGCTATATTCTTGATTTCTTGGAACCCTATACCTCAGAGTTGCAGGGGCCCTCAGTAGTCTAACCTAATCTCTCCTCAAATGCTTGAGCATTTTAATATTCAAGCTAGTCCCTCAGCCTCTTCTTGAACGTCCCTAGGGATGGGCAGCTCATCATGCTCCTGGGAATGCCTGTTCCACTTCAGATGCCTTTGGTCATAACAGAACTCTTCTTTAGATGAGATTCATCTTCTCTCCATCTTCTACCCATTGGTTCTAATACTAACCTCTGGGGAGATACAGAACAAGTCAGAGCCATCATCTGTGTGACAATCCCAGCAGTATTTGAAGTAGGCTCTCAAGTAACCTCTAAGTCCCTTTGTGTCTAGGATAAATAGCCCCAGTTACTTCCATCTTTGCTCATATGACAGTTATTGAGTAGTTTCTTGTGTCCTTTGCAAAGAGCAGCCCCAGAATTAAGCATGGGGTGTGCAGTGTGGACCTTGAAGACAAATATTCCCACTTAAAGGTGGCTCTACCACCACCGTCACTTTCACCACAACCACACCACACCTTCAGCACTGGTTGGCAAGGAGCGTGTCAGCCCAGATAAGGCTCTGCACACAGCGGCCCAGCTCAGAAGACAACTCGGGGGCTCTGCTCCACGCTGGATGCTGCGCCTCCTCCACCTACTAGCTGGGGCAGTCACCCTGGCATTTCTCCTCTCCCAGCTGATATGGTTTGGATCTGCGTCCCTGCCCAAATCTCATGTCAAATTGTAATCCCCAGTGTTGGAGGTGGAGCCTGGTGGGAGGTGATTGGATCATGGGGCAGATTTTCCCCTTGGTACTGTGTTGTGAGAGTGAGTGAGTTCTCATGAGATCTGGTTATTTTAAAAGTGTGTAGCACCTCCCCTGCTCTCTCTCTTCTTCCTGCTCTGGCCGTGTAAGACGTATGCACTTCCCTTTCACCTTCTGCCATGATTGAAAGTTTCCTGAGGCCTCCCTGGAAGCCAAACAGATGCATCCATGCTTCCTGTATTGCCTGCAGAACCATGAGCCAATTAAACCTCTTTTCTTTACAAATTACCCAGTCTCAGATATTTCTTTATAGCAAAGCAAGAATGACTAATACACCAGCTTGGGATCAAAGAGGACCCAGAGCTCCAGTACCACCTTTCCTCCCACATGCCACAGTCTGTGAGCCACTCCCAGCCTCTTCATGGCTTTGTACATAGAGGCAGGGGCCTGGAGATGCTTTGACTTGTTCTTTCTCTGGGGGATTAGTGTTGTTCCTTCTGTGCCCCTCTGACAGTGGGAAACCATTGGCTAGCTTTCCCTGTATGTGATATGGAAACTCCTGGAGCTACAGATTTGAGACCCTCTTTAGGGTCTCTAGATGTTTCTCTGCCACTGGTTAACTTCGTATCAAACTCCCAGTAAGACTTGGTTCAAAGGAGTAGGGTAGGCTATGCATGGTGATGTTGGGCAGGGCCAAACACAAGTCTCCAGAGATGTGCAAGGAAAGGAGCAGCTGCAAGGGAAGATTAAGCTCAGCTTTGCTCCCATAGATCAATAAATCAGTCAATCTTTATTGAACTCTTCTGCCCACACATGCTCATTAGCCAGCTTGGACCCAGGAGGAGCAGCCTGAGATTTGAGGGGGAGGGGAAGGCCTCCGGCCAAAATATTTCACCTCACAAAGGTCAGTGGTTTCCCTGTGGGGTCATTAGCTAATTCATGCTAAAGTGTTAATGACTTATCAGCTTTCATTCTTTCTAAAGGGACTCCAACCAGGGGTGAGCTCTGAGAACTGATTAGAGGGCCTGGGTAGAGACCACCCAACAGGGTAAAGGATGGAGAAATAGATGCTAAATGCGATTTTCTCTATCTTGTCATTTTCTCTAGGGCTTGGGATGCTGAATATTAATTAGGGTGGGAACAGAAGGCAGGAGTGGGGCTCTGGTGACAGCACCACTTTCATTTCATTTCCCAGCTCTTGCTTCACCAAATGTGACATGCAGCTGGTCACTCGGCTTCTCAAGACTCTGTCTTCTCACTAGGAAAGCAGGAGTGTCCACCAAACAAGAGTTGGGAGGATAAAGCACTTCATACAGCTCTCAGTTTAAAGATAAAATGTGCTGGTTGCTTTTGTGCACAATGAATGCAACACAGAGACCAACAAGAGCTATGACCCTCAAAAAAGAAAATGGATGGTAGCTCTTCCTCAGGCCGTCACCCGTTCCTCATTTGGTAGCCTTATATGACACCAATATTCGTAAAGTTGTCCAAGCCCTTTTGATATTCATTCCTACTCATTTATACAGCCTCCTAAACTGCCTCCTAATTAATGAGTGTGAGAAGTTTATTGTTCTGAAATCGCTTCCCTGCAATGCCAAGGTGACCTCCCCAGCCAAGAGATTCGGGATTTGGTGACCAAGCTGCATTTCTCTTTTCCTTTTGGTTCTTAATTATCAATTCAGCATATGTCTTAGCTCCAGCTTTTCTCTCAGCAGAACATGAAGTGTGTCTGTATGCCACAGTCTTGCCTCCTTCACACTAGTCCTTCCTTCCTTCCTTTCTTCTCTTCCTTCCTTCCTTCATTTGACAAACATTTACTGGGTTCCCTCTATGTGCTGCTGATAAAGGCAGAATTACAAAGACAGTCTCTGGACTCATAGTCATTACATACTAGTGGGCAAAGGTAGACAAGAAGCAGGTACGCAAGCAAATGAATAAAGTAATTCCAGTATAATGTGAGGTGTAAATAGATGTAATGGAGAAAACAAACAAGAGGCTGAGGTGATGACTGCTAGAGAGAAGGTCATCTACATCAAGCAAGAGCTTCTCAGGTGAGAAAGAGCTCAGAATGAGATGCTGAGGCACTGAGAGACAAGTGGGGTGACTAGGGCCTAATGAGCTGGGTTAGGGAGGAGAAGCAAGGAGGCAGAGAGTGGGGTTGAAAAGGAGGCTGGGGCCAGATCAGGCAGAGCTTTGTAGCCCATCATATGAAGTTTGAATCTTATTTTAAACTCTATTTTTGCTGAGAAGCTGTTGAAAGATTTTAGTCATGGCAGAAACATAATCTGATATGTCTTTTGAGAGGTGACCTTTCCCATCAGGCGGATAATGGGTTGGGTTTGGGAGGGCAGATTGTAAATTCAGACACTGTTGCTTTAATCTAAATGAGAGATGGTGGTGGCCTAGACCAGTGGAATGAAGTAGAGAGATTCCAGACACATTACTGACAGGACTTGCTGATAGATTGGATATATGGAGTAGGATAAGGGAAAGAATTATCACCAATGATTCCTGGGCTTCTCTTTGGAGTAATTGGATCAACATACAGAGGTATCATTATTAAGATAGGAAAGACACAAAGCAGGCGGTAGCAGAGAACCAAGTGTCCTATTTTCAAACACGTTAGTTTCGTGATTCTGTGAGTTGTGAGGTGTCAAACAGATGGATGGATTTGTGAGCCTGGAATTCACAAACATGACCAGAGATAAATTTGGAAGTCATAGCAAAAAAAAAAAATTGACCTTTAATCCATAGGGATCAGTTTGATTTCCTCCCTTCTGTCAAGCATTCCAGTTCCTCTTCTGTAGACATAATCTAGTGCCGTTACTGTTGTTGTGTAGCCACTAAGACTAGACTCATAGATTTCCAGGTCTGACCAGGCAGTCCCAGAAAGCAACTGCTTATTTAAGGACAACTGAGAGAAGTAGTAGCCACTGCTATTTCCTGTGGAACCTCACCCTCTGACTCAATTCTAAGGAACCCTGCTCATTGCCCTGTATTATTCTGGAAGGAGTTGTTTTTCTCCCAAAGCTCATTGCAAGTATTGCATATACCATTTGGCAAAATGGCCATCTCAGTAGATACTCAAGCAAATATTTGTTCTGTTTTTTAAAGTGGAGGTAAATGACCATTTCTATCTTAACTCCGGCACCATTTCCTTTTGTGTGAATAAATTCATTTTCTGTCACTGCTGGCTTTTTGAGACAAACATATTTTAGGTATTACATGTGCCTGCAGCTAGGACATCAAGTGACAGTGTTACAGGACAGGTGAGCCCCCAAATTGGGGCTTAGCCTGGGAGCGTTTTTGGCTTTACCCAGGAAGGAATTTAAGGATGAGCTGATGGTGTTAAGCGGCAATCTATTAGTGAACAGTATTGCTGCTAGTGGAACAGTGCTAACTCATAAGCAGCGCACACAGAGTCAGCAATGAAGGGGCTCTTGGCAACTGTATTGATACTCAGGTAACTCCACTTTCAATTACAAGCAAATTTAGGGGTGGGCCAATGCAAATTGAGGGGCAGATTATTTAGAACTTTCTAGGAAAGGGGCAGTAACTTTCAGGTCCTTGCCATGGAAAGGGGTGATAGCTTCTGGATCTTTGCCATGGCATTTGTAAACTGTCACGGCACTGGTGGGAGTGTCTTGTGCTAATGAGCAATGAGGGAAGCTAGGGATCACTTTTGTCACCATCTGCTGGTTCCTGCCAGTTTCTTCATTTTATCCTGTCTGGACCAGATCTTGTTTTGGTCAGCAGGGCTGTGACCAGAAAACAACTCCTGCTGGCCCCCTACCTCAAAAGACAATACAAAGTGTGATAAACATAAGAAAAGACAACAAAAGAAATTAGGGCATCTTTTACCCTAAGAATACATCCCTAGAGGACCCAGATATTCACAATGATTCTAGTGAGTGAAGGGCTCCGAAAATCATAAGCTACCAGAAAAGAGAAACATTGCTCATAATATCTAGGTTTTTCTAAATTTTACATTTCTCCCATTTTAGAAACTAAACAAAAGTTGGATTTTCCCCCTTCCTGTGTGTCTAGAATTGACTCTTAAGCAAGGTTTAATAAAATTTATATTTTATACTTTGTTAAATATTTCTAGAAAGTAGGAGATTTTGGCGAACATGTACTTTGAACAAAAATCACTATACTGTTAAACATTTGCATGGTGTTATAAAGTTTTCCATATACAATTACAAACACATTATTTGCTAACTCCAACTCTCAGTCTAAGGAGAATCAAACAAAACCATCAGCATATGCCATGCCAGCAAGTTTTTCTGTTTTGAACTACTCTAGGGAGCTTGAATTTGCATGCTAAAGTTAAGTGAAACAACTTGATTATATTTGCTGAAACAGCCCATTACTGAGCATCATTTAAGAGGACCACTAAATTTAGCACATGTAATAGAAATGGATTACCTCCATCTAACTGTGAGAGCATTGAGGAGAAACTATAAAAACATTGAGTATTATGATAAATTGAGATCTCATAAATGAAGCTGGTTAATTTTCTTACCAATTATCTTGCTATTACTTGAATACAGTTTAAATACCATATAAGTCTTAAGTCTTTGCATCTTCCTTATGAATATGTTGCTGTTGGTCTTAGAAAGATTTGACTCTGCGTTGTTCCTTTGCACTGAATCTTCTCAACCAGTTCAATTTTTTATTTTTTATTTTTTTAGCTTCTGACGTCAAAAGAAGTATTGTTGGATGCGGTAAATTTTTTAATCTATAGAGAAAATTCCCAGCATGTGATGATTTAAATTTTAATTTAAAATTTTCTCATGTATTTGTATTCTAGTTAACATAGAAGATATGGGCTAAAGGGAGGTTTCTTAATCTTTCTCTGTGCAAGTGCATGGGCTTAAACCTGCAAAAATTAGAAACAGTGACTTCACAGAAAGCCCACAAGCTCAGGAATTGAAACAGAGTAGGAATAGAAAACTTACAAGTCATAGTAAAGAAACACTTGATGAAATGATGTCAGCTTTCTGGGTAGATGCCAGTGTCCAGCTTGATTATCTACAAATCCCTTTTGCTGTCTTGGCTTCTGTCAGAAATGTCAGCTAGGAAATCACAATCAAAACATGCAGGTGTCTCAACATAATTCTGGGCTTTTTGTTTCAATTCAACTGGGAAGATTGTTTTTTCATAATCATTGAAGAAGGAAGCATACTGTCTGAAAGATTCTTTTAACTTTTTTTAAAACTTGAAAAAACTTTTCTCACAAGTCCTTCTTGACTTCTTGACACAAAACATCTTAAAAAGAATACAAATTCAATATTGGGCCAAAAATAAAATGATGAAAAAAGAGTGTTATGAAAAAGAAAACTGAAGATTTATGGAAACATATTGAAAAAATCAAAGCAGTATCATGAAAGAAATAGCAAATAAATTAGAAGAGCAAGGAACCGAATAAGCACCACTGATAATGAAATTACAAATAGAATAAAAGTTTCAGCTACTTAGGGTACAGGCAGATTTAAGAAGATAAATCAATGAGAATTGATATGAAAGATACAAGACACTTATATACTTGAAATAGCCTAATAGATAATATATTCTAATATATTAATAATAGTTAATATATTCAAAAATATAATACAAGAAAATTTAGCTGAATTAAAAGAAATATTTTTTAATTATATATAGTGGAAAAGAACATGTGCAATGAGAAAATTTAATACAGGACTCTCTGTACCAAGACAGATCCTAGCCAAGCTCTTGAATTTCAGGGATAAAATTATTTCAGGCATTTGGACAGAAAAAACAAATAACCCAAAAGGGATTAAAATCATGCTGCCCTAGACTTCTCCACAGAATTAGCCAATGCTATAAGACAATGGAACAATTGTTCTGAGGTGAAAATAGCATGACCCAATAATGTCATAGCCAAGATGACAATCAAGTATAAAAGCATTAGGCATTATGAACCAGGAGAGCACTAAAGGAACATAATACCATGAGCTTGTCTGAACAAAACAGATGACAAAAACTTGCCAATTCATTTTAATCAAAATTAAAACAGAGAAGGTATGTGTCTTTTAAAAAACCAGTGGTTCAATCCACTTAAATATTGCCTATTTAGCATATGAAAACAGTAATTACAGAACAAAATTCAATATTATAAACCCAAACAATGTAAAAAAATAATAAAACTTACAAAAGTTGGAGGTGATGATAGAGAAAATGTGAAGATGTGGAAAAAAAGGCCATGGCCTTTTTTCTTTCATAGCAGGAAGTAAATTTAAAATGTTGAAAATTAAAATACAGCCCTTTAAAAGTCTTGATTCCAACACCAATGTTTATCATGTTCTCTTAACGTTAAAAAGTACTTTTACAAAAAATATTTTTTGATACAAAGCAATATGAATTTGAAATTTAATAATACCTTTAGCCTTGCTTCTACAAGTTCAAGTAAAATCAAATTTAATACACTTTATTTTGAAATGTATAAAATTATAATTTTATAAACATAATAATAAGCTATTTTTATTTTTAAAAAGACTGGAAGCAAATATACCAGTATATTGATAATGGTTCATTTTGAGTAATGGAAATTGAGATTATTATAGTTTCATCTTTATTCTTTTCCATAATTTTTTAAATTTCTTAAAAATAAGCAAGAGTTAAAACTGGACCAGGTGTATCTGATACGGAGTTTTTCTCAGACTTTCCTGATTCTAGGTAGTTGTTGATGAATTTTTGTAGTGAGCAGCTAGGGAGTGGGAAGGCTTGCATAGCTGTATATCTACTATACCATGCATATATTATAATAGTAGGTATGTTTGTATAAATGTCTTTACTGCTAGAAAAGGAAGTAGTAGCCACTTCCATTTTTTATGTTTTTGTCTATTCCTCCAACTCTCCCCTCTTCTGACCCTGGCTCTCTTCCATTTTTCAGTGGAAGCACAGCACAGAGTAATGAAAAGGTCTACTTCCTACTCCCTCACCTAGAAGCCTCAGGTTAGTCACTTCTCTTTTCCAGACCTTGCTGCCTCATCTATAACACATTGTTACCTGCCTGATGATAGGACTTCAGTAAACTACTCTGAGAAGACCCTTGGATTTAGATTGCGGAGCATGAGGAGAACCACGACCTAAACAATCACAGAGGTGTTCCGAGTGGGGCTACATTTCCAATCAGCCACAACAGGAGGTTCCAAGAGAACTGTGGATAAAGAACGGTGGCTGACCCATGGCTGGACCAAGATGCTCAACCTCGGTAGATAAAGGCCAACAGCAAAAATATGCTGGTTATTTTTTTTTTCAATTCTCAAACGTTCCTATTCTTTTTTTTTTAATACTTTAACTTCTAGGGTACATGGGCACAACGTGCAGTTTTGTTACATATGTATACATGTGCCATGGTGGTGTGCTGCACCCATTAACATGACATTCACATTAGGTATATCTCCTAATGCTATCCCTACCCCTTTCCCCCACCTCACAACAGGCCCCGGCGTGTGATGTTCCCCACCCTGTGTCCAAGTGTTTGCATTGTTCAATTCCCACCTATGAGTGAGAACATGCGGGGTCTGGTTTTCGGTCCTTGCGATAGTTTGCTGAGAATGATGGTTTCCAGCTTCATCCATGTCCCTACAAAGGACATGAACTCATCATTTTTTATGGCTGCATAGTATTCCATGGTGTATATGTGCCACATTTTCTTAATCCAATCTATCATTGACAGACGTTTGGGTTGGTTCCAAATCTTTGCTATCGTGAATAGTGCTGCAATAAACATACGTGTGCATGTGTCTTTATAGCAGCATGATTTATAATCCTTTGGGTATATACCCAGTAATGGGATGGCTGGGTCAAATGGTATTTCTAGTTCTAGATCCCTGAGGAATCGCCACACTGTCTTCCACAATGATTGAACTAGTTTACAGTCCCACCAACAGTGCAAAAGTGTTCGTATTTCTCCACATCCTCTCCAGCACCTGTTGTTTCCTGACTTTTTAATGATCGCCATTCTAACTGGTGTGAGATGGTATCTCACTGTGGTTTTGATCTGCATTACTCTGATGGCCAGTGATGGTGAGCATTTTTTCATGTGTCTGTTGGCTGCATAAACGTCTTCTTTTGAGAAGTGTCTGTTCATATCCTTTGCCCACTTGTTGATGGGGTTGTTTGTTTTTTTCTTGTAAGTTTGTTTGAGTTCTTTGGAGATTCTGGATATTAGCCCTTTGTCAGATGGGTAGATTGTAAAAATTTTCTCCCATTCTGTAGGTTGCCTGTTCACTCTGATGGTAGTTTCTTTTGCTGTGCAGAAGCTCTTTAGTTTAATTAGATCCCATTTGTCAATTTTGGCTTTTGTTGCCATTGCTTTTGGTGTTTTAGACATGAAGTCCTTGCCCATGCCTATGTCCTGAATGGTAATGGCTAGGTTTTCTTCTAGGGTTTTTATGGCTTTAGGTCTAACATTTAAGTCTTTAATCCATCTTGAATTAATTTTTGTATAAGATATAAGGAAGGGATCCAGTTTCAGCTTTCTACATAAGGCTAGCCAGTTTTCCCAGCACCATTTATTAAATAGGGAATCCTTTCCCCATTTCTTGTTTTTGTTTTGTTTTGTCAAGTTTATCAAAGATCAGATGGCTGTAGATGTGTGGTATTATTTCTGAGGGCTATGTTCTGTTCCATTCGTCTATATCTGTTTTGGTACCAGTACCATGCTGTTTTGGTTACTGTACCCTTGTAGTACAGTTTGAAGTCAGGTAGCGTGATGCCTCCAGCTTTGTTCTTTTGGCTTAGGATTTTCTTGGCAATGTGGACTCTTTTCTGGTTCCACATGAACTTTAAAGTAGTTTTTTCCAATTCTGTGAAGAAAGTTATTGGTAGCTTGATGGGGATGGCACTGAATCTATAAATTACCTTGGGCAGTATGGCCATTTTCACGATATTGATTCTTCCTGTCCATGAGCATGGAATGTTTTTCCATTTGTTTGTATCCTCTTTTATTTCACTGAGCAGTGGTTTGTAGTTCTCCTTGAAGAGGTCCTTCACATCCCTTGTAAGTTGGATTCCTAGGTGTTTTATTCTCTTTGAAGCAACTGTGAATGGGAGTTCACTCATGATTTGGTTCTCTGTCTGTTATTGGTGTATGAGAATGCTTGTGATTTTTGTACATTGATTTTGTATCCTGAGACTTTGCTGAAGTTGCTTATTAGCTTAAGGAGATTTTGGGCTGAGACGGTGGGGTTTTCTAAATATACAATCATGTCATCTGCAAACAGGGACAATTAATGACTTCCTCTTTTCCTAATTAACTACCCCTTATTTCTTTCTCCTGCCTGATTGCCGTGACCAGAACTTCCAGCACTACGTTGAATAGGAGTGGTGAGAGAGGGCATCCCTTTCTTGTGCCAGTTTTCAAAGGGAATGCTCCCAGTTTTTGCCCATTCAGTATGATACTGGCTGTGGGTTTGTCATTAATAGCTCTTATTATTTTGAGATATTTGCCATCAATGCCTAGTTTATTGGGAGTTTTTAGCATGAAGAGCTGTTGAATTTTGTCAAAGGCCTTTCCTGCATCTATTGAGATAATCATATGATTTTTTGTCATTGGTTCTGTTTATATGCTGGATTACGTTTATTGATTTGCGTATGTTGAACCAGCCTTGCATCCCAGGGATGAAGCCAACTTGATCATGGTGGATAAGCTTTTTGACGTGCTGCTGAATTCGGTTTGCCAGAATTTTATTGAGGACTTTTGCATCGATGTTCATCAGGGATATTGGTCTAAAATTCTCTTTTTTTGTTGTGTCTCTGCCAGGCTTTGGTATCAGGATGATGCTGGTCTCATAAAATGAGTTAGGGAGGATTCCCTCTTTTTCTATTGATTGGAATAGTTTCAGAAGGAATGGTACCAGCTTGTCTTTGTACCTGTGGTAGAATTCAGCTGTGAATCCGTCTGGTCCTGGACTTTTTTTGGTTAGTAGGCTATTAATTATTGGCTCAATTTCAGAGCCTGTTATTGGTCTCTTCAGGGATTCAGCTTCTTCCTGGTTTAGTCTTGGGAGGGTGTCTATGTCAAGGAATTTATCTATTTCTTCTAGATTTTCTAGTTTATTTGCATAGGGGTGTTTATAGTATTCTCTGATGGTAGTTTGTATTTCTGTGGGATTGGTGGTGATATCCCCTTTATCATTTTTTATTGCATCTATTTGATTCTTCTCTCTTTTCTTCTTTATTAGTCTTGCTAGTGGTCTATCAGTTTTGCTGATCTTTTCAAAAAACTAGCTCCTAGATTCATTGATTTTTTTGAAGGTTTTTTGTGTCTCTATCTCCTTCTGTTCTGCTCTGATCTTAGTTATTTCTTGCCTTCTGCTAGCTTTTGAATGTGTTTGCTCTTGCTTCTATAGTTCTTTTAATTGTGATGTTAGGGTGTCAATTTTAGATCTTTCCTGCTTTCTCTTGTGGGCATTTAGTGCTATAAATTTCCCTCTACACACTGCTTTAAATGTGTGCCAGACATTCTGCTATGTTGTATCTTTGTTCTCGTTGGTTTCAAAGAACATCTTTATTTCTGTCTTCATTTCGTTATGTACCCAGCAGTCATTCAGGAGCAGGTTGTTCCGTTTCCATGTAGTTGAGCGGTTTTGAGTGAGTTTCTTAATCCTGAGTCCTAGTTTGATTGCACTGTGGTCTGAGAGACAGTTTGTTATAATTTCTGTTATTTTACATTTGCTGAGGAGTGCTTTACTTCCAGCTATGTGGTCAATTTTGGAATAAGTGCGATGTGGTGCTGAGAAGAATGTATATTCTGTTGATTTGGGGTGGAGAGTTCTGTAGATGTCTATTAGGTCCCCTTGATGCAGAGCTGACTTCAATTCCTGGATATCCTTGTTAACTTTCTGTCTTATTGATCTGTCTAATGTTGACAGTGGGGTGTTAAAGTCTCCCATTATTACTATGTGGGAGTCTAAGTCTCTTTGTAAGTCTCTAAGGGCTTGCTTTATGAATCTGGGTGCTCCTGTATTGGGTGCGTATATATTTTGGACAGTTAGCTCTTCTTGGTGAATTGATTCAGTTACCATTATGTAACGGCCTTCTTTGTCTCTTTTGATCTTTGTTGGTTCAAAGTCTGTTTTATCAGAGACTAGGATTGCAACCCCTGCTTTTTTTTGTTTTCCATTTGCTTATTAGATCTTCCTCCATCCCTTTATTTTGAGCCTATGTGTGTCTCTGCACGTGACATGGGTCTCCCGAATACAGCACACTGATGGGTCTTGACTCCCTCCAATTTCCCAGTCTGTGTCTTTTAACTGAAGCATTTAGCCCATTTACATTTTAGGTTAATATTGTTATGTGTGAATTTGATCCTGTCATTATGATGTTAGCTGGTTATTTTGCTCATTAGTTGATGCAGTTTCTTTCTAGCATCGTTGGTCTTTACAAGTTGGCATGTTTTTGCAGTGGCTGATACTGGTTTTTCCTTTCCATGTTTAGTGCTTCCTTCAGGAACTCTTGTAAGGCATGCCTGGTGGTGACAAAAATCTCTCAGCATTTGTTTGTCTGTAAAGTACTTTATTTCTCCTTCACTTATGAAGCTTAGTTTGGCTGGATATGAAATTCTGGTTTGAAAATTCTTTTCTTTAAGAATGTTGACTATTGCCCCCCACTCTCTTCTGGCCTATAGAATTTCTGCCGAGAGATCCGCTGTTAGTCTGATGGGCTTCCCTTTGTGGGTAACCCGACCTTTCTCTCTGGCTGCCCTTAACATTTTTTCCTTCATTTCAACTTTGGTTAATCAGACAATTATGTGTCTTGGAGTTGCTCTTCTCAAGCAGTGTCTTTGTGGCATTCTCTGTATTTCCTGAATTTGAATGTTGGCCTGCCTTGCTAGGTTGGGGAAGTTCTCCTGGATAATATCCTGAAGAGTGTTTTCCAACTTGGTTCCATTCTCCCCGTCACTTTCAGGTACACCAATCAGACATAGATTCGATCTTTTCACATTGTCCCATATTTCTTGGAGGCTTTGTTCATTTCTTTTTACTCTTTTCTTTCTAAACTTCTCTTCTTGCTTCTTTTCATTCATTTGATCTTCAATCACTGACACCCTTTCTTCCACTTGATCAAATCAGCTACTGAAGCTTGTGCATGGATCACGTAGTTCTCGTGCCATGGTTTTCAGCTCCATCAGTTCATTTAAGGTCTTTTCTACACTGTTTATTCTAGTTAGCCATTCATCTAATCTTTTTTCAAGGTTTTTAGCTTCTTTGTGATGGGTTCGAACATCCTCCTTTAGCTCGAAGAAGTTTGTTATTACAAATCGTTTGAAGCCTTCTTCTCTCAACTCGTCAAAGTCATTATCTGTTCAGCTTTGTTCCATTGCTGGCGAGGAGCTGCATTCCTTTGGAGGAGAAGAGGTTCCCTGATTTTTAGAATTTTCAGCTTTTCTGCTCTGGTTTCTCCCCATCTTTTTGGTTTTATCTACGTTTGGTCTTTCATGATGGTGACATATAGATGGGGTTTTGGTGTGGATGTCCTTTCTGTTTGTTAGTTTTCCTTCTCACAGTCAGGACCCTCAGATGCAGGTCTGCTGCAGTTTACTGGAGGTCCACTCCAGACCCTGTTTTTCTGGGTATCACCAGCAGAGGCTGCAGATCAGCAAATATTGCAGAACAGCACATGTTATAGCCTGATCCTTCCTCTGGAAGGTTCGTCTCAGAGGGGCACCCGGCTGTATGAAGTGTCATTCAGCTCCTACTGGGAGATGTCTCCCAGTTAGGCTACTCAGGGGTCAGGGACCCACTTGAGGAGGCAGTCGGTCTATTCTCAGATCTCAAAGTCTGTGCTGGGATAACCACTACTCTCTTCAAAGCTGTCAGACAGGGACGTTTAAGTCTGCAGAAGTTTCTGCTGCCTTTTGTTCAGCTATGCCCTGCTGCCAGAGGTGGAGTCTACAGAGGCAGGCAGGCCTCCTTGAGCTGCGGTGGGCTCCAGCCAGTTCGAGCTTCCTGGCTGCTTTGTTTACCTACTCAAGCCTCAGCAATGGCAGACGCCCCTCCCCCAGCCTTGCTGCCACCTTGCAGTTCAATCTCAGACTGTTGTGCTAGCAGTGAGCGAGGCTCCTTGGGCGTGGGACCCTCTGAGCCAGGCACAGGATATAATCTGCTGGTGTGCCATTTGCTAAGAACATTGGAAAAGCGCAGTATTAGGTTTGGAGTTTCCCAATTTTCCAGGTACCGTCTGTCATGGCTGCCCTTGGCTAGGAAAGGGAATTTCCCAACTGCTTGTTCTTCCTGGGTGAGGCGATGCCCTTCCCTGCTTCGTGGGCTGCACCCACTGTCTGACAAGCCCCAGTGAGATGAACCCAGTACCTCAGTTGGAAATGCAGAAATCACCTGTCTTCTGCATTGCTCATGCTGGGAGCTGTAGACTGGAGCTGTTCCTTATTGGCCATCTTGGAACCTCCCCCCTTTTTTTTTTTTGAGACAGAGTCTCGCTCTGTCGCCCAGGGTGGAGTGCAGTGGTACCATCTCGGCTCACTGCAACCTCTGCCTCCCAGGTTCAGGTAATTCTCTTGTCTCAGCCTCCCTAGTAGCTGGGACTACAGGCACATACCACCACATCTGGCTAATTTTTGTATTTTTAGTAAAGACGGGGTTTCACCATATTGGTCAGGCTGGTCTTGAACTCCTAACCTAAGGTGATCCACCCACCTCGGCCTCCCAAAGTGGTGGAATTACAGGCATGAGGCACCACGCCCAGCCCCTATTCCTTTTCACAGATTTAGGTGGGGAGGTTTGGAGGAAACAGTACGTGGAGCAAGACAGTACATTCTATGAGTTCATTAGAAAGCAAAAAAAAAAAAAGGGATTTGGGGAGGGACAAGGGCGCAGAGCAGTGGTAGGACAGACAGCTCTTCAGGAAAATATTTGCATAGCTTAGTACTTTACATCTTTACCTTCTTGGCCCTCGTAGCAATCCTTGAAGTTAATGGGAAGAAGTATACATATGGATATGGTCTCCACTTTGCAGATGGCAGTGGCTCGGCCCCGTAAGGGGTTTCTTCAGGGTCCTTATGCTAATAAGGAGTGAGAGTGAGTATGCCAAGCCAGTCTGCTCACCCTAAGGTAGTACTCTTTCTTATACCCCAGCCTTTCAAATATAAAGCCATCACAGCCCTAAATGTATTTGGCAAAAAAAAAAAAAAAAAAAAAAATCAAAAAACAAAAAAGCAGAGAACCTGAAGAAACACAGTAAAAGATTTTAAACAAGTATTTCCAATTTCCCAGTCCAATGCAGTGAAACCTCTATCTCCTGACTTGGGACCTGTACCTCCTTCACCATAGGCAGCATGCTGTCCAAATGCCTCAGGGTTCTCCGCAGGCAGCACAGAGGGCTCTACTAGAGCCCTTACAGATGACCCGAAATAGTGCATGGGTTGGGAGAGTGTCTCACATAACCTGCTCATGAGTCCTTCATTCCCAATCCTTTCATGTTCATATGTATACATCTTTATTGTCCTTGCAGCTTTGTGGGACTAACTGTTAGGTGTCATGCTATTGCGTTTATATCTAAAGAAAAGAATAATGTGTTTTGAAAATATTGATATGCTATAGATATCTCGCCTCCTATGGAGACTGCAGTTCTGTCAGTCTTTCCAAGTATTCCTTTTACACAGGACTCCATTGGCTAATTTCCTCATTTACCTTCATTGATGTCATCTGTGGAAGTGTTAAGCCGGCATGTAATTGTAATAATGGCAGCTCACACTCCTTGAGCATGTACAGGTGCTGTGCTTAGTGTTTTGTCAGCAATATCTCATTTAACAGAATTATGATCCTAATATTTTAGATAATGGAACTGAGGATAAGAAGGGTTAAGGAACCTACTCCTAATCAGACAGAATTTGTATGAGGGGAATCAGATTTAAGCCCTGGTCCAGTGGATTCTCAACCTTTATACTAGCACCCTACATACTTTCTCTGGTTTTCATCACAACTGAAGAGCACAAACACCTGCTGAATGCCTGAATAGCCCCATAGAGAATAGCTATGGAAAAGCTTTATGGCAAGGTGTCATTGTGGCTAAAAGTTTGGAGTTAGGAAGCCTCAAGGTCAAATCACAGCTCTGATACCTAAAACCTGTTAATATATTGGAGCCTCTGCTTCCCTGGTGAAACAAAGGTAATGATAGTACCAATATTATAGTTCTGATAACTAAATGAGAAAATATCTAAAACACACTTAGCTTGATGGCTGTGGTGCTGCAGAGACTTGGTAATGTTCATTTTTGTTTCTATTAAGCCAAAATAAAATAGACTACTCCTTTCTGGTCACCCCCATTAGCAACTTATGGAGACAGAAACTAATAAGAGTTTACACATTTTAAAACTATTGGCTGAAATAGAGTCATCACTTTTCAGAGCTCCCACCTTTCTCTAGCACATTTAAATGTCTACACTAAAATGACACTGCGAAGACTGCCCAGTAGGTAAAATGAGGAGCTGATATTTATGAAGCACCTAATATTTGCAAAGCTCTTTGTGACATACAAACAAGTATAAATCTAAGACATTTCCCCCATAGAATTTTTGGGCCTCGTTATGTAATAATAGGATGTTATGCAACAATAATAACAACTGCAATGCAAAAAGACAATTCAATACAGGAGACCTTGCAAAGCAGTGTTTGATAGATCCCATTTGGTGGGGTAGAAATATCACTCTTAGCTAAGGTAAGATCTTGCAAGCCAGAAAATATGTAAAGATTAAGAGGGAAGAAATGAATTTAAGAAAAGGGTAAAGACTGTGAAAAATAAACACAGGGTACCCGGTGATGCAAAATCAAGGAAGCGAGGGGATAGAGGCGGAAAGGCAGATTGTATGTAAGTGGCAATAATGGATCATGTGTGAGGATGTGGTGGAACAGGAGGAAAGTAGATAATGAGCTTCTCACACCCCTTCTGCTCTTTACTCAGGGACCCAGCTAAAGAGCAGGGGAAAAAAAGAGCCCTATCATAAAAGGAAATAATAAAAAATCACTTTCTTTGAGAAATCTCAGCAGCACTGTGTCTTGAAAGAGATTTAGGGTGACAACTGCTCACCACCTTAAATCTGCTCTGAATTTGGAATTCATTAAGAGAAGACATGAGGCAAATAGTGAAAAGCACAGTATCAGTTCATAAGACTGGCTGGAAAATTGGGCTAGATCTATGACCACATTTTGAAACTAATGCCCCCTTCCTACAAATTAAGGTTATTGGCCAATTAGGGGTAAAATTGTACAACCACAGGCTCCCGCCTCACCTCATCCCATTCCCCATCCAGGACAGTTCACTGCACGCTGCAGAGAAGAAGACCATACACATAGCTTGCTCAGGTGGTTCTGAAAATAAGACAGAGGAAGGTCTCAGTGCTCCTCTCCTCTTCCCAATCCCACCAGTCAGCTTTGGAGCCAGGAGAGAAGGACAGATGTTTCCCTCCCAATATTGGCCCCTGTTAGGGAGTGAAAAGTATCTTTTATAGGCCTAGTAGACATCCAAGGAGGTAGAAAAATAAGTCTGTCTCTCTGTGTTTCCATCTCTCTGTTCCCATCTCAATAAAAGTTTGATATTGCAATAAATAACAACTAAAAGAAATACTATTTTCTGTATTTTCCCTAGGGATTTATTATTGAGGTTTTGTTTGTATCAGTTAGCTAGTATGTTTTTTAAATGCCCTTCTGTGTTCTATGCGGGTTGCATTCATTTCTGCTATTTTTCTTTGAGTCAACATCTCACTCGGTCACCCAGGCTGGAGTGCAGTAGGGCAATCACAGCTCACTGCAGCCTTGGCCTCCCAGGCTCAAGCAATCCTCACACTTCAGCCTCCCAAGTAGCTGGGACCACAGGCACATGCTACCATGCCCAGTTTATTTATGCTATTTTGAATAAGCATCACAATTTCACTTTCTGGAAAAACCAAAGTTAGTGGAATTGCAAGTGCTGTTTTTTATGCCTCAGGCTTTGCAGGTTTTAACATGTTGAAATTGGGGATAACATATAATTTTTGGACTTTATAAAGAGAGATTGGAAAAGAAATCATGATATATTTGAATACCAATGGTACTTGAGGATTAGCAGCTAAATTTGAACCAAATTTCAATATCACTCCCAAAGATCAAAAGGAAATGAAATCTATCAGTGTGAATAAGCATATTGTTTTTGGTTTGTTTAGAAAATGTAACTAATGTCAAAAACCTATGCATTTATCTCTTCTTTTCCCTGTTTTCTCCTCCCTGCCCAATTTGAAACTTCACTGTCTCAATTACCTCAGCTAAGCATTGATCTGATTCCAGCTAACATTATCGAGATGACTGGTCGACAGCCCCAAATAGCCCAATGTACATTTACATTCCAATGATGCACTTGTTCACTCAAGTGACACGGATGGATGGAATGTTGATCACTGGACTTAGCTAAGCTCTCTCCCAGTGTAGACCACAGTGACTCTTCTAGTCACAAATCTTCCAGAAACAAAAATTTCCTTTTAATATTCCAGTTGTTCAGGTCGGTGCCAGGGTCAGCCAAAAGAAACAGCATGGTCATGCCATTTCAGGCACAGGAACTTCAGCCTGAGACCCAGGTGGTCTAATCATTTGATTTGGGGAACTTCTTATGGTCTGGCCCTCATGAGCTTCAAGCCTCTGAACTGGGAAATTCAAACATTTCAGGTGCCTGAGGGGCCAACCATTAAAAGACGTATTTTGGAAAGAGTCCCTTACCCATTTGGCTTACATTTATGAGTATCCTGAATTATCAATCTCATTAGAATTAATATTCCAACAATATGATAATATGATAAATTAACTTATTCCACAAATATTTATTAAATGCCTACAACAGTACCTATTAAATATTAAGTATTCTGAAACTATTTATTGATGTGTAAAATATTTCTGGAGAACTCACTATATGCATACTCAGTACTATGTTCCCTGGATGAAATGATTCCTAAGTAGAAATGGGAGCCCTTACTTTGACTATGAAGTCATTTGCATACCAAGAGCCTCTTCCTTCCTCTACCCCTAACCATTCCCACCACTTCTAAAGAGACAAGTGATCTAAAGGCTTGAACATTGTGCCCATAAATCTACCTCTAAAGCTCTGCTCAACAGTATGTCCTCCCCTGGGCCCATTACAGGAAAATATGCACCATTTGAAACCTGAACCATCCACTGTCATAGAGAAATACATGAATCAAAAGCAGCTGGCCCTCAGCAAAATCTAATGCTTGCTGGCTCAGCCTCCACATAAGGCCAATCACTGTTGCCATATTGGTTTGCTGAAGAGTAGAGTCATCAAAAGCTGCAAGGACAAAAATACCAAACACTGCATGTTCTCACTCACAGGCGAGAATTGAACAATGAGAACACATGGACACAGGAAGGGGAACATCACACACCAGGGCCTGTTGTGGGGTGGGGGGAGTGGGGAGGGATAGCATTAGGAGATATACCTAATGTTAAATGACAAGTTAATGGGTCCAGCACACCAACATGGCACCTGTATACATATGTAACAAACCTGCACATTGTGCACATGTACCCTAAAACATAAAGTATAATAAAAATAAAAAAATAAAAAATAAATAAATAAATAAAGCTACTGCCCAAATAGTTCTTGTACTGCTAGGGAGCTTCAAGATTAAAATATTCCTAGTACTTCCCTCAAAAATCTTCTCAGCTGGGAACCTTCCCTGACACTCTCTTCCCCCTTTTCTTCACCAGGAACCCCTTTGTTCTTTGCACCTTCCCCCCACACTTTGAAAAACTGTCAGTAATACTACTTACCACATTCAACTAAAATTAATAGTTTGCATGCTTACCTGAGCTTCCTGAGAGCAGTTACTCTGGCTTCCTCATCACTGAAGCCTTAGCATCTCACATAATAATAGCCTAGCACGTGGAAGGTGGTGAATAAATGATTTTCAAGTAGAATTTCTTTGTTCTTAATGAGTCAATAAACAAAATATCACTTAGCCAGAGCCAGTATACTATATAAGCATTGGAAGTCTCTGTTCAACCTGCTGTGTACTCCCCAGACAGTCCCAAAATCCTTGTCATAGTTCATCATTATATGCAAAACCTAGAAAATATTTTGCCCAGTTTTTCTATAAAATAAAACCACATAATTTTAGAATAGGTGTGTGACCTTGACAATCTTATACAAATCCCCTAATTTCACAGATAAGAAATCTGAAGTCCCAAGTAGGTAAGTCAAGGTCATACAGCTAATAAATGGCAGAAAAAATGATGAAATCCAAGGCTCCTTACTCCTTTGCCCATGCCTGGTTACTAGTCCGTGATCCAGATTCAGCTTGTTGAAGTCCCATTTCTTCAGGGGCTTATGAAAGGACTTGGGGGAGCAGTGGTCGTTGAACTGGATTCAGAAAGATCCACCAGTTGCTCTAGTTCTTTTTTCTTTCCGGGGCATTAACCCTGGACAAAAGCTGTCTTAGTACAAGGAGCAAGAAAGGGAAAACGTGATGGAAATTCAGCTAATGAGATATAAGGAGGCCTTTTAGGACAGTTTCAGATTTGTAACCTGCATTCGAGATAGACTACCCTTGGGTCAGATCTTCGGTAGTGACTGAGCTTCAGAATAGAATTTTTGAATTTATCCTGGTCTGAATCTGTGTCCCTGAAAGGATCCAGTATACTCTCCGCCTACACACACGGACACATGCGCACACGCGCGCGTGCACACACACACACACACACACGTATCCCTAGCGCTCTAGCACTCAGGACCTGACACTCAGTGCTAGCATGGTGCCACACAGAACCCTAAACTGACCAGAACCCTAAACTGTCAGTGCATGACTAACACTGCTTAGGCATCTCCAGATATCTTGCCCTGTGTCCTCAAAACAAAAAGAAACCATGTCCAAATGCTATGAAGCTCCGCAAAGGTCAAGATAAACACTGCCACAGAGCAGAGGAGAAGTTGAGTAGCAAAAGCACTTAGGCAAGAGAAAAGACAAATTAATTTCCTTACCAAACTTTTTCCTCCTGGATAGAATGAATGTGATAGATTCTCACAGAACTAAGAGTTATTGCTTCTCTGCAGGTACCAATCTGTGATTCCAGACGTGCTCACAAATTGGTACTATATTCACAACAGTTTCGGAAGTTGAATATTTCATAATGTTAAACAATTCATATTACTCTTAAATTTATCTTTATTTAGCTCTAGACATAAAATACGTGGAGAATACAAAAGTTTTTTACATTGGCAACCAGATGAACTTTCAGTGTCAGAACTGTGAATACTTTTATATTTATAAAAATAGAATTTCAAAATAAATGGCGAATTTCAGTTTTACCTAGAAATTTTATGAGCATAACAATTATTTTATTATGCCTATTGTATTTGTATTTTGCCTATTATTTTTAATAATGCTTTGATATTTTAGGAGAAATATAACTTTTAAGACATATAGTATATAATTTTTTCATATTTATATGTACTCTATTTTTTAACAAAATATAATCAAATTGTGTAGTTTGCATACAGATACATTTTATTTTTAATCCTTTAGCTCATTTCTATAAACAATTAAATTATAAAAAATATTAAGTATAACAACAAAATTAATGATTTTGCTAAAGAGAAAAAATAGATCTTATGGAATAATGCATAATAATTTATTAACTATGCATGTTTTTTGTTTTTGTTGTTTTTTTTGGGAGGGACTCTCGCTCTGTCGCCCAGGCTGGAGTGCAGTGCGCGATCTCGGCTCACTGCAAGCTCCACCTCCCGGGTTCAAGCTATTCTCCTGCCTCAGCCTCCCGCGTAGCTGGGACTACAGACGCCTGCCACAACGCCCAGCTAATTTTTTGTATTTTTAGTAGAGACGGGGTTTCAGCGTGCTAGCCAGGATGGTCTCGATCTCCTGACCTGGTGATCCACCCACCTCGACCTCCCAAAGTGCTGAGATTACAGGCGTGAGCCACCGTGCCCGGCCTAACTATGCATGTTTTTTATTACTCACGCAAACAATAATGGCTTATCTACAGAATACCAAGGCATGAAAAATAATAATTAAACTTAGTCATCTTTAGTGTTTTTCCAACTTTCTATTATATAAAAACCATAGCTTCACCCACATTATTTTTATTTCTTCATTAGGAATGTATATCTGTCAAAGAGGAAAGTCAGAACATGTTTTATTGAAATCGGTAGCTTGATTTAGAACCTTTATGTGTATAGACATATGGTTTGTGGGCCTCTGTTTGTCCTCTCATCCCAGCTGCTGAAATGTTAGGAGCGGCCAGTGTATGAGTCACCAAAAGTTAACATAAAGTGATTGAAGCCCCAAAGTAAGCCAACAAGGAAAGTAGGAAAATAAGTCTCTTCCCTTCTCTTGAAGTCAAGACTCTGTTTTTGTTTTGTTTTTCTTTGTTTCTGTTTGTTTATTTGTTTTTTTGAAAGCTCCTAGTCTCAGGTGGAAGCACACAAGCACATAGGCCATGGTGAATCAGTGTTACCATCTATGAAGTCAGTATCCAAGAAAGACCTACTGAGCTTTGCCAAATGTTCCTAGGAGGACTGGTCTGTTTGGATGGATGTTGTTTGTATCTGTGTTTAAGGGCTCCAGAAAGTACAAGGAATACAAAACAACAATGACACTTTTCATGTTTAGAGGCCCCGCCTGTGGCTTCCATGTCTTGGTTGTCATGGGGACTTGAACGTGCTCTGCCCAGCAAATTCCCTGCCTGCATGTGACTGGATGGTCTCAAGGATGTGACTCTGCAGTGTGTTCATAACGCTGTGGTGAAACATGACTGTTCTATTTTTGGTTTTCATTTCAGAGCCCTCAAAGAGAAATGCATTAATCTTTCATCTGTAGATTAATGTCTTACTTTTTATTTATATTTTATAAATCTTTTGCCATATCTTTTTGCTTCTTCAGTCTCCCAGAACAATCTTAATCGTAGATTTTACGTTATTCTTCAAAAAATATAAATTATTAAAATCTGGTAAATGTTCTCTCCTTGATAATTTTTAGAATTATTTTAAACAATTGGGGCTGCCTGTGTCTGTCTTCAAATCTTATCATCTTGTATTATTAGAAGAGAGTCTTGTATTATTAGAAATCCATTTACCTTGAGAAAACTTAGATAAACAACGAAGAGAGTGACAGCATGAGCAAGAAGGGAACCCTATTTAAATAGTGCAGGTGACTCCCCCTGACCTACCCCCAAACCACCCTCAACTCTGTCCCACTCACAGATCGCATGCCTCAGTGAACTTGAGTTGGGAGCCATGAATCTGCCATGTCCTGGGAACCAAATATGATTCCAGTATTTAAAGACATACCTTCTTCAGGCATTACCCCTAAATGTAAGCCAGCCACATTTGAGACTCAAACAGAGTCAGGATTCAGTCCCAAAGTTAGAGGAAAACAGCCAGTGCTGGGTGTTTGGAAGGCAGCATATTGCTCTCCAAAATACTACCCTCCTCTGCCATTTTCCAAAGGTAATTTTGACTAGTTATGATTTTTACCACATACACCAACTTCAGAAGTAAACCTTTATATACGGTATGAATTATAGTTTTACATTCAGCCCTATTCTTAGTCAGTATCACGTTCATGTTTGATTCACCTATCATATCCCTTGCAGCCCCCAGTGCAGTGCCTCAAACATGAGGTGTTTGAGAAACTGTGAATAAATAAGTTTCCAAGGATTGAGAAACACCTCTCTCTGATGGCCCCTGTCATCCATGTAACAAAGAAGTCACCAGATGGCTACTATCATATTGATACTAGCTAGTTTCTCCAAGTGTGGTGCCCAGATCATCTGCTTCAGAATTAATCAGGATTAGTTAAAAGTATTAAAAGTAAATTCATGGGTCCCACCCTATGTCTCTTGATGCAGTTCCTCTGGGAATGAGGCCTCAGAGCCGGGCCATCAGTGTATCTCTAAAGCTCCTGAGATGATCCTAACGTGCTTGCAGGGCTCAGAACCATTGTGTCAGACACTCTTTCTTCCACTTTAGCCCATTTACAATCTGCAGTATTAGCTACATTCAGCTAACAGTAGACGCTAGGGAAGAAGGGGAGAAGATCAAGGAAAGCAAAACAACATACAAATGTCAGGTCTGTGGGAAAGCTAAACCCTGGGCAAAGTGCTGCACAGCATGTGCTTTCAAAAGCAGTCAGCATCAACGTCAAAATAACTGGCTCTCACCAGGCTGGTAAGAGAATGAGATTTGATGGATGTGTCAGAAAGAGGCTCTTTGCTACCTCATGAGTATCGCCTATTAGCAATTTAAATTGAATCCATGTTGCTATTCCTAGGACTGGCTCATGGTGCACCTTATTAAAGTTAGAAGAAGATAAATTAATTCCTTGTTCTAGAGAACAAAATGTTTGACTATTCCCTGGAAGAAATAATACCTATTTTGAATAAGTTACTTATATAAAACTATGTCTATTATCTGTTATATGCTTCCCAAAAACTATGTTCCATAAGTAGGAAACCTACTACTGTCCTCATGTTAGACAGGGTAGAGCTGGGTAGAAAAGGTAAAGTAGCCTCCTCAAGCCACGTACCTGGTAAGTGCAAGATCCCAAGTCTTCTAACCCAAATCCATTTTTTTTCTCACTCAAGCTCATCAACACCATACTTCCTGTAAAAAAGAAAAAAAGATTCGGATTACATGGAAAACTCTCATCTGCTTGCATCTCTCTTATGAAACTTATTACTTTCTCTTTTATATTTTACAATTACTTACAGAGCCAGATATTTCTGACTCTTCTACTTAAAGAGGGATGGTATATGTCTGATTCACTTTTATATTCCCCACAATATCGAGCCCTGAAAAACGGTAGGTAGTGAGTAAGTGTTTCCTGGGTAATTATATGAAAATAAGAAACAGATATATTTAATATTTCGCTTTGTAAAACTTTATTTATTTATTTTCTTTACTTATTCTTTAAAAAAAAAAGGGATACATGTACAGAACGTGCAGGTTTGTTACATAGGCATACATGTGCCATGGTGGTTTACTGCACCTATTGACCCATCCTCTAAGTTCCCTCCCCTCACCCCCCACCCCCAACAGGCCCCGGTGTGTGTTGTCCCCCAATCTGTGTCCATGTGTTCTCAACGTTCAACTCCCACTTATGAGTGAGATCATGCATTGTTTGGTTTTCTGTTCCTGTATTAGTTTGCTGAGGATGATGGCTTCCACCTTCATCAATATCCCTGCAAAGGAAATGATCTCATTCCTTTTTATGGCTGCATAGTATTCCATGGTGTATATGTACCACATTTTCTTCCTCCATTCTGTCATTGACAGGCATTTGGGTTGGCTCCATGTCTTTGCTATTGTAAATAGTGCTGCAATAAACATACACGTGCAGGTGTCTTTATAATAGAATGATTTATATTCCTTTGGGTATATACCCAGTAATGGGATTGCTGGGTCAAGTGGTATTTTCGGTTCTAGGAATCACCATACTATTTTCCACAATAGCTGAGCTAATTTACATTCCCACCAACAGTGTAAAAGCATTCTTGTTTCTCCACAGCCTTGCCAGCATCTATTGTTTCCTGACTTTAAAAATCACCATTCTGACTGGTGTGAGATGGTATCTCATTGTGGTTTTGATTTGCATTTCTCTGATGATCAGTAATGTTGAGCTTTTCTTCATATGTTTGTCGGCCAATTAAATGTCTTCTTTTGAGAAGTGCCTGTTTATATCTTTGGCCCAATTTTTGATGGGGCTGTTTTCTTTTTTCTTGTAAATATGTTTAGGTTCCTTGTAAATTCTGGATATTAGACCTTTGACAGATGAGTAGATTACAAAAATTTTCTCCCATTTTGTAGATTGCCTGTTCACTCTGATGATAGTTTCTTTTGCTGTGCAGAAGCCCTTTAGTTTAATTAGATCTCATTTGTCAATCGTGGCTTTTGTTGCAATTGCTTTTGGCATTTTTGTCATGAAGTCTTTGCCCATGCCTATGTTCTGAATAATATCACCTACGTTTTCTTATAGGGTTCTTATGGTTGGGGTTTTACATTTAAGTCTTTAATCCATCTTGAGTTAATTTTTGAATAAGGTGTGAGGAAGGGGCCCAGTTTCAGTTTTCTGCATATGGCTAGCCAGTCTTCCCAGCACCATTTACTGAATAGGAGATCCTTTCCCCATTGCTTGCTTTTGTCAGGTTTGTCGAAGATCAGATGGTTGTAAATGTGTGGTGTTATTTCTGACATCTCTGTTCTGCTCCATTGGTCTATATGTCTGTTTTGGTACAAGTACCATGCTGTTTTGGTTACTGTAAACTCGTAGTATAGTTTGAAGTCAGGTAGTGTGATGCCTCCAACTTTGTTCTTTTTGCTTAGTATTGTCTTGGCTATACGTGCTCTTTTTTGGTTCCGTATGAAATTTAAAATAGTTTTTTCTAATTCTGTGAAGAACGTCAATGGTAATTTGATGGGAATAGCATTGAATCTATAAATTACTTTGGGCAGTATGGCCATTTTCATGATATTGATTCTTCCTATCCATGAGGGTGGATTGTTTTTCCATTTGTTTGTGTCCTCTCTTATTTCATTGAGCAGTGGTGTGTAGTTCTCCTTGAATAGGTCCTTCACATCCCTTGTTAGCTGTATTCCTAGGTATTTTATTTACTTTGTAGTGATTGTGAATGGGAGTTCCATCATGATTTGACTCCCTGCTTGCCAGTTGTTGGTGTAAATGAATGCTTGTGATTTTTGTACATTGATTTTGTATCCTGAGACTTTGCTGAAGTTGTTTATCAGTTCAAGAGGTTTTGGGGCTGAGATGATTGGGTTTTCTATATATACAGTCATGTCACCTGCAAACAGAGATAACTTGACTTCCTCTCTTCCTATTTGAATACCCTTTATTGCTTTCTCTTGCCTGATTGCCCTGGCCAGAACTTCCAATACTGTGTTGAATAAGAGTGGTGAGAGAGGGCATCCTTGTCTTGTACCAACTTTCAAAGGGAATGCTTCCAGCTTTTGCCCTTTCAATATGATATTGACTGTGGGTTTGTCATAAATAGCTCTTATTATTTTGAGATATGTTCCAACAATACCTAGTTTATTGAGTGCTTTTAACATGAAGGGATGTTGAATTTTGTCAAAGGCCTTTTCTGCATCTATTGAGATCATCATGGGGTTTTTGTCTTTGGTTCTGTTTATGGGATGAATTACATTTATTGATTTGTGTATGTTGAACCAGCCTTGTATCCCAGGGATGAAGCTGACTTGATCGCGGTAGATAAGTTTTTTGATGTGCTGCTGGATTCAGTTTTCCAGTATTTTACTGAGAATTTTCGCATCAATTAATCAGGGATATTGGCCTGAAGTTGTCTTTTTTTGTCTCTTCCCAGTTTTGGTATCAGGGTGATGTTGGCTTCATAAAATGAGTTAGGGAGGAGTCCCTCCTTTTTGGTTGTTTGGAATATTTTCAGAAGGAATGGTACCAGCTCCTCTTTGTACTTCTGGTAGAATTCAGCTGTGAATCCATCTAATCCTACGCTTTTTTTGGTTGGTAGGCTATTAATTACTGCCTCAATTTCAGAGCTTGTTATTGGTTTAATCAGGGATTCAACTTCTTCCTGATTTAGTCTTGGTAGGCTGTATCATCCAGGAATTTATCCTTGTCTTCTAGATTTTCTAGTTTATTTGCATAGAGGTATCCTGATAACAACTGGCATGCCCTTTTCTTTAAGAACATCCCTCTCTGTTCCTCTTACAGTGCCACTATAAACAAAATCATTACTAACCTTGTTGCCAGTCCAGATTTTAAACACAAATGGGAATTGTATACCAGGAATCAACTACGGCTTAAGAAATCAATGTTTCAATTCCAGATCAAAATGTTCTTTCTTTTAAAGTGAAGGGACAAATAGACCACAGCTCTATCCTTAACAAAGAAAAAGGTTTAAAAAAATTATTTTGGCTGGGCACGGCGGCTCACAACCTGTAATCCCAGCACTTTGGGACACTGCGGCGGGCGGATCACGAGGTCAGGAGATCAAGACATCCTAGCTAACACGGTGAAACCCTGTCTCTAATAAAAATACAAAAAATTAGCCAGGCGTGGTGGCGGGTGCCTGCAGTCCCAGCTACTTGGGAGGCTGAGGCAGGAGAATGTCATGAACCCAGGAGGCAGAGCTTGCAGTGAGCCGAGGCCACTGAACTCCAGCCTGGGAGACAGAGCGATATACCTTCTCAAAAAAAAAAAAAAAAAATCGGGATTTTTTTCACTTGGAGGAGTGATGAGTAGGGCTAGAAGGGGGAGTTGGAAATGATTAGTTTCCAGATTTGAATGTCAAGTACAGAGTGTACTCACTTTGTAAAAATTCATTGAGCACTTTATATTGAACTTAAAGTAAAAGTTCACTCCTAAAAAGAAGTGACACCCTTGGCACCATTTAACAATGGTGAATAGTACACTGATTCAAACAAGCTTCTACTGGGTATGATGTGGGGGATCATTTCTCCACAAATTGGAGATTTTAACAGCCATGTTTCACATCTGGTCAGAATTCAGGTGCTTGTGAGATGTTCCTTTGATCTGGAATTTTTCTATATTCACATCTCACTTTCCTCTGGGATTTTACCTATTATAAAGAGTCTCTTGATACTATCCATACTCAGTCCTCTTATTATCTCACTCACCCATGCACCAAACACTCCTCAGGGCATGGACTATATCTCTTTGGTTTTGTGATCTCTTCACCCAGTTTGGGGTAAGCCCAAATTAAGTATTTAATAAATGTTAAGATTCTGAGATCTTCAAGGGCATGGACAACATCACTATCTGTAGAGAGACTTGTTCTTCTGTACCTGGCCAGCCGCAAGACAGGCAGATATCAGAAAGCCTCCTTTCACCTCTGGTGCCATTATCCTCTAAAATTATCAGGGCCCACAGTTCATAAACAATTCTTTCTATTTCTTTCCAGAACCACAAACCATTTTCAGAATTCATAAATGGAAAAGTTCTTTCAAGAACAATATGAAGAATATTCCTAATCCAGTGGCTCCACATGCAAACTTTGCCTCCTGACCACCCAAGGCATCATTTTAGTCAACTACATCTCCTTCTGGAGCCTAACTTTAGAAAATGCTTCCCACATTGTCTCTTTTAGAAGACAATTTTGATACATGATGTTAGAGGAAACAACTACCTCAACAAGTTTGAAACTCCTTCTAGAAATTGCTCAGCAGCAACACATACTGCTTTTCCAGTAAAAGCTCCTATTTGACAAAGGCGAAACTCCTTGGCCCCACCTGGTGGTTGCTGAATCCAGCAAATTCACCTTTTGCATTTAAGACCCTATCAGAAGCTGTACTTTGTCCTTTGACATCTATGGAGTTATAGACATTGAATCTCCTTCGATGATGAAGTGAGGTCTCATTCCAAGTGCTTAAGATAATGAAACCTGTATGAGGACAGATGATGCAACATCAGCAATTTTTGCAGTGCTATGAATTTCAGGTGGCGTCTTAATTCGAAGTAGGTTACAAGATAAAATACGTGAAAAAGATACTCCAAATTTAAAACAGGACTTTCATGCAATAAGCATAAATGCTTCCTCTCTAAGTTAAGATCTGGGGCATAGTCTGTAAATTTTAGATGCACGTTTTCCTCTTGGATACCAATTTCTGACTATAGTAAACCAATAATTCTGAGGGCTCTGATTAAACATATTGAACCTAGCAAATATTTGTACTTCCCTCTCTTAAACCCATTGAAATGATAGTAAAGATATGCAAAAGGATAGGATATGAATAGGTGAAATAATTAGGAAATTCTCTTAAAAATGCATGGCATATGGGATTACACTAACAGATAAAATAGAACAGAGAAAAATAACTATTCAGAGTACAAGAGAAGCCGCAAGAGAAGCTGCAGTGAAGGTGGAATCTGTTACTCTATGAAGAGACCCCTGGCATTGGGAACCTGAAAGAGAGCAGACACTAATAATGCATCTGGCTAAAGAATCTGTTGGCTGGCTTTTGGGTGGTGCATAATGAAGAACGTTTATGTTTCCGACTTCAATAAGAAAAATTAAGGGAAACTAGAAATTCCAGGAAAAGGAAAATGCTGTACAAAAATTCATGACGAAAATATGAAGCATTATTATAGGAAATTTATGGAGTCTAAGAAAAGAAAATCTTGACTTAGAACTTGAAATATTCTACTTTAAGTAGATCTGATTTAAGAATATAAATTATATCTCCTCTACAGCTGCACTCTGGTTCTGCAGTGAATAATATTGAACAATATCATAATATTATAAATGATGTTTATCTATTTTTGCTTCTCTGAATCAATGTATAGACAAAGCGATGAATACTTAATTAAAATTTCCATTCAGAATGTAAATGTTTTAAACCTTGGCAATATAAAAGTAGTGGTAGAAATGATGAACAGTAGGAGTTAGAGGTGGGAAGGAGAGATGGGAGAGCGTGTAGGAGTGACCGACTCCATATCATACACCATGATATGTCTGAAGTTGACAGAACAAGAAATAAAAGTCAAAAATATTATTTAAAGTATAAACAATAGAAGAACAAAAAGAAAAAATGGGAGCAGATACAGGGAAAAACGAAGCAGAGTAGTTGCTATGAGCTGAAATAGTAATCTTTTACAGCAAAGAGTTAAAAGACAAGCTTAAGTTGGTAAGATAAGAAATAGATATTAATGTTGTATGAAACAGATACTTCGAGTTATAGTGATAATCCCTGGAAGAGCTAAAGACAGAAAACATCATGGGTGGCAGCCTCTTGAGAACCAGGCTATGGATAGTGGAACTAGACACACTTTTCATCTGGCACCCTTATTTTTTATTGAAATTTTATTTCCATGAGCATGTACTTCTGAAATTCTGATTAGCATGCTGACATTATAACATCCCAAGTTTTGAACCTTTTTGATTTTCTAATCCTCAACCGATGAGGCAGTGACTGTATGTAATGATCAAAGCTTGACAGCAGGTTAAATTTCCATGGTCTTCAACTCTAAGGTGAGTGGCCCCTCTCTAGAGCTCTCCAAGTCTGACATATATTGCCTTCAGAACTGTAGAAGCAAACGTTTCTGAACTATTTCCAACTACCTACTTGCCTGTCCTTCCAAGATTACCAGTTTTCTGTGGATGTCATCTTCTCTTACAACCAAGCATCATAAATCCCTCATAGATCTCCTTCATGAGGTGTGCTGTTCAAGTCCGAGAATGCCTCACTTTTAATGATCAAAAAAGAAAAAGCTGACAGAACTGAAATCTTGACAATAGGAACTTTCAACTTTCAGCTCTAGCAGAGGGTATTAATTTCACTTCTGGAGCACTCATAATCTAAGAAACTTCTGGATCCTAATGACAAGGATGGAAACAACAGTTATTAAATCCCATAAATATCCCCTCTGCCTAATTATATAGCAAAGCCAAATGCTGAAGAACCACAGGATAAAATATAATGCTATGCATTCCACTTCCAGAGATATGAAGCTGCCATTTTTTCCTTCACTCTCTGTCTTCGTCCAGCCTCCAAGCACACCCCTAGCTTCACTTGACCTTACTTGGTTCAACATATCCCCAGGATCACTTCACTTTGCTTGCTTTAACATGTTTTCATACCATGTCACCTTACTTGCTTTAGCACATAATACTGACAGATGAATAAAATGAAAACTGCAGCTGAAATGATCAAAACTGCTTAAAGGAAAAAGATGCTGAAGTTTGCCATAGTAAGAAAAAAAAGAGCATAAATTTTGAAGTAATACAAAGCTGTCATAGGGTTTCAAACTAGGAAGTTCAAGTACCTTGGGTAAGGTCACACAGCTTGCAAATATTAGAGTCCAGCCCACAGTTGTTTTCTTAAGTAAATAATGATTAGGCATAAGGGAGATGATCATCCTCGAACCTAAAAATCTACTACAAACTTAATGAATATTGCCTGGCCTGAAAATTGATGATGCCACAAACTTTTTTCTACATATTGGCAAATTTCTACTGAGGTTTATTCTAAGCCTTGATGGGGTACTTAAGTTCAGGAAAATAAAAATATGGATTTTTTTCCTCATATAAACCACAAAGAGATTGGGACAAAAATCATTCCATCTAATTACACCAATCACTAAGAAGAGTAAATATAAGAGTGTTTTATTTCTGAAAAATTAGAATTATTTTAAAGGTAACCTATTTTGATTCCAACATTACAGAATTAACATAAAGTATATATTCCCTAAAACACATCAAACTTTTATCCAGTTGTACTCTTCTTTATATAGCTAAATGTGAAAATGTAAAATGTATTAATTATTAAGGGGTGCAGTAAAAAAAATTAAAACAATGCCTTAAATCTATACTAGCCACTTCTATAATATAAGCTATACTATTTTACCTCTAACCTTGGGATTTATATCGCTTGCTAGAATTAATCTGCAAATAGGTTACATCTTATCAGGCAATACCAACTGGTATTAAGCTGATATTAGAGCTTCACTAATAGAGCTGGTTGTTTGGACCACTATGTTAAGAAGGAGTCTGATGTTGTCCACGTATAGTTGTAAGGAAGACCCTAATCAATTAACAATCTTTACTATGGAAGCAAAAAGAGAGAATGACAGTATGTGCTTATTATCCTTGTCAGGTGCTCAAATCTAGCACATTTTAAAACTCTCAGTAGTTTTGTATTTTTTAAATTAAAGCAGTCTTACAAGTTGAAATTCTATAATATAAAAACTCTCCTTAGACTCAAGAAATTACCAAAATTAGCAAACTTGTCAGGACTACTCAAGCTGCCCCAGGAAGAAGATGGATATATTCCAATACAAACAATAACGTGTCATTTGGAGTTCTGGAGGGAAAAATCAAAGGAATCAAATGACTTGGTAACCAGAGTTCTCTAACTTAGCACCATCCTTCTCTAAATCCAGTCAATATCTCTAGGAGTCATAATTATACATAGACTAGAAATATTTTCTTTAACATTTTCTTTTTAAATAATTGAGTAAACAGAATAGACAGCTCAGTAACGAACCCATATGAAACATGTGTATATAAAGTTAACATATAATCAAGGAGAGATCATGAATCAGTGGGAAAATGAAGCATGATTCTGGGCCAGCTAATTAGCTATTTACATTTTATTTAAAAAGTTCAATTAGATCCTCATCTCACACATATGTCAAAATAATTTTTAGGTGGATTAGAATCCATGGATTCTATGGATTAGAGCGTGTGTATTATACATTTAAATGTAAAATGTTATATCTTTTTTGAAGCCTACAAAAAAGATATAAAATTTTAAAGCTCTCTGACTAGATAAATATTTAAGTTTAAATGCAATGGAAGTAATGACAAAGAAAAGATCTGAGCTATAACTACCAAAAAATTTTAAACATATGTATATTTTAAAAACACTTGAGCTATAACTACCAAAAAAATTTAAACATATGTGTATTTTAAAAACACCAAAGCAAAAATTGGAAGAAAAAACTAAAGGAAAAAAAACCATTTAAGTAAACTGCTCTAGTAAGAAATGTTTTGATTACCAAGAGCAGGCATCTATTCAAATTATTTCCCTGTGAAAAACTTATGGAGAATCTGACTGAGACAAAGTATAGGAAGTATAGCTGTATCTCATGAGAACAGGAAAATGGTTAGGCAGCTACTGTCTCCATCTCCATTCCTCACTGGTCCACATGGTCTCTTTTCTCTGGCCCTGAGCACACTTCCTTCTTTCTTTCTCCTGAGGAGGGAAAGAAAACCATGCCTGATCCTCTTCTACAACTTTAGTTTGCATGTGGCTTTGACTGGCTTTAGTGCCAAACCTGGCTCCAGAACCCAGCACCATCTTATTGACACAGTTCTTCAGGGCCTTAGTCCCAAACTTCTGGGAAGACAATATAATAGGCCCAACTTGGGTCAGGTGTTTACATATGGTTCAGTTAGGTGTGACCACTGGGGAAGGGGTTGTCCTATGGACATAGAACTGGTAAGGCCTACCTGCTTCTCAGCAGGTCTGGGTGCAAAGCATCTTCAGTGAACGGATGTAGGAGGAGCAGAGAGCAAAGACACTACACATTTCATGGAATATAATGAAGTCCACATGGAGCTTCATCATAAGAAGTTAAGAAAGAAAAGCCTACTGTAAAGTCTTATGGTCAAAATTCTCTCTGATATGTGGAGGGAGAGAGGTATGGATATCCTAGCCATACTAGACAAGAGTAACTTTTGTTAATCTGATGCATTGCATTCATTTGTACTTTCCAAAGTTTTTACCACAAACATGCAGAACTCTGATAATCAGAAAAGAAATAAAGTAAGAGGCCAGAGGAAGAAAAGTCAAAAGTGTGAAAACTAAGTGCCAAATATACAATTTAGGTTGAGTTCTCAGGTCATTTTTTGTGACATGTTGCAACTTTCAATCCCATTACTCCCCTCTACACTTATGGCTGGACTCTAGACTCAGTTAATGACAGACACTTCCCTGAAGACCCCACCAACACTCACTCCACCGTTCTTGTGGCCATGTTGACCAGATGTCCTTCCAGGCTTTCTCTGTTCAGTGGCTGCTCCTCATCCCTCATGGCACGAATGAAAGTCAGCCTTCCTCAACTGCCATTACCCCAACCCAACTCCTTCTCCTCTGTGTCTCTCAGCCCAGTCTTCCTTGGCTGTTTATGCCTCTGTCCTTCCAGACATAGTTGAAGCTGATTTTAGGGAGATAGTCAGTCATATGAATGTTGCTTCATAAAGCAGCTAGCACAGGACATGAGCAAGAGTAGGTTCTCAATGAATGTTTTGCTGAATAAATGTTGAAAGTTTAAGGAATTATTTCTGTATTTCAGATATTTCAAATTGTCCTTATACTAAAAAAGCATTTTACCAAAAAAAAAAAAATAAGTTTGTGGCATACTGAAAAAATCATGGACTTCAGAGCCCAGCAGATCAGTTTCGAATCCCAACCTCAACTCACTAGTTGGGTAAATTAAGCTTTTCTGAGCTATTTTCTCATCTTTAAAATGCAGGTGACAGAGTGGCAACAGAAATATGATAGAAAAGGAAGCTCCTGACTCTCCCTCTGCCCATGGATGCACCAAATAAACATCTACCACAGACCAATTCCCTTTAACAAAAGGTCTGGCTGGGCGCAGTGGCTCACACCTATAATCCTAGTACTTTGGGAGGCTGAGGCAGGCGGATCACAAGGTTAGGAGTTTGAAACCAGCCTGGCCAGCATGGTAAAACCCCGTCTCTACTAAAAATACAAATATTAGCCGGGCATTGTGGCACACGCCTGTAATCCCAGCTACTTGGGAGGCTGAGGCAGGAGGATTGTTTGACCCTGGGAGGCAGAGGTTTCAGTGAGCCAGGATGGCGCAACTGTACTCCAGTCTGGGTGACAGACTGAGACTCCATCTCGAAAAAAAAAAAAAAAAGAAAGAAAGAAAGAGAAGGTCCAAGACCAACAGAGAGGCTCCTACCCACTGACAGCTGAGAAAACATCTACACTGAAGCTGAGGCACACTCAGGCATGGACCCCATCCCAGGCACTGCACCATAAAATTTGGAAAGGAATCCCCCACACCCAGTCTCTCCCTGTGGAGAGGAGGATCTGGACCCCCAAAATAGGGCTCTAACAGTAAGTTTTCCCATGGTTTGACTCTTAATTTGCCAACTATGGGAGATGAGTGGATTATACACACACATCCCTCTAGACTTAAAAAAAAAAAAAAAAAAGAGGCAAGTGCACACCAATTCCGGGGACTTCAAACATCCCTCCAGCAGCCACCTGTTGGCCCTGTTTCTAACTAGCTTACATTGGGCAGTTAAAGGGACAGTCAATTATTAAACCACCACCAGCCTAGGATAAGTCTGCATTCACACCAAGTATCCTAACTTTTTTTTTTTTTTTTTTTTTTGAGACAGGTCATCACCCAGGCTAGAGTGCAGTGGTGCAATCTCAGCTCACTGCAACTTCTGCCTCCCAGACTCAAGAGATCCTCCTGCCTCAACCCCCCAAGTAGCTGGGACAATAGGTGCCTGCCATCACACCTGGCTAATTTTTCTATATTTTGTAGAGACGGGGTTTCGCCTTGTTGCCCAGGCGAGTCTCAAACTCCTGGACTCATGCAATCTGCCAGCCTCACCCTCCCAAAGTGCGGGGATTATAGGCGTGAGCCACTGTGCCTGGCCTAGCATCCCTAACTCTTATAACATCTACCTAAGGGATTGCATCCTTAGTCTCCTAGCTCTGGGAGCAGAAGAGACTGGCATATACACGTAGCTCTAAACAACAGGAAAAGAGTTGTGTTTTTAAATGGGTATGCAAGCATCTCCAGGGATTTCATCTCCTTGCAGAGAAGGGGCTTAAGACATAATAAAACTCCCTGTTTCTCCCCAGAAGGGGTTTAGGATACATATTGAAAGCTAATTTTTAAAGCTATCTCCCAAAGGGCTCCATCCTAAACCTAGTAGCTCTGACAACAGAAGGGACTATGCATATGTGAGTCTCCCTTGATCATGAAACAAAGAGGTGGTTTTAAACAGGCATTCAAACACTTCTAGGGGCTATACCCTCTTGGAGCAGTTCACAAAAGGGGCAGGAATGTACAGCTCTCACTTTCTCTTCAATAAGGGCTTATAGCACACACTTTCAGTAGCTCCTTGAGGACTTGGTTTCTAATCAACTTGCATTGAGAGCTAATGGAGCAAACAAGCAATGGCCTTTAGGTAGCCAGAGCCAGAGCACGGTACTTCACAAGACCTTCCTCTAGCTCACTCCAGAGACAAATCCAGGCCTATTCCTTCCTTCTGGAAAGAATTGGCCATGTGGGCAGCCCACAACCTGCATAACTCCCACTCAAGGGACTGTCTCCTTAATGACCTAGCTACAGACTTTGCAATCCTAAGTGACCCAAGACCACAGAAAACAAACAAGTGGATGTATAATTATCCCAATATTAGCAACTATCCCTCTAGGATTAGAAGGTAAATCCTGACTGTGAGAATAGACATTTGCTGCAGATCCTCTCTTCAACTTACTGTACCTGCACCCAGTCACACCATGAAGATACAAAGAACTGGGGTACACATCTAACACCCTAAACTTTCCAGCTACATCTTAATAACTTGGGTCCTATCATACCAGTCTCAGGTTACTATCAAGATGTGGTACATCATAAGCTCCAGTGAGCCAGCAAAAACAGAGATAACAGTCTCGACAAACACAAAGATTTGAGAGGCACCTTAAAATCTCTGGCCAGACAGATTGGTGAAAACTCATATACAAAGTCAGTCTAATAACATGAAGAGAGAGGTAGTTATCTAATGCTCAGAAACAAAAACAGAGAATCAAGGAAGTGAAGAAACAGAGGAATATATTTCAAACAAAAGAACAAAGTAAATCTCCAGAAACCAACTTGAATGAAGTGAAGTTTTATGATTTGCCTAATAGGGATTCAAAATAATGGTTATAAAGATACTCACAAGGTCAAGACAGCAATAAAAGAGCAAGCCGAAAACTTCAAGAAGAGACAGAAAGTATAAATAATTACCAAATGGAAATCATAGATCTAAAGAGTGCTATAACTGAACTGAAAATGTAAATAGAGGGGTTCGAGAGGAGACTAGATCAAGCAGAAGAAAGGATGAGTAAACTTGAAGACAGATCACTGGAAATCATCCAATCTAAAGAGCAGAAAGAAAAAAAAAAGAATGAACAAGAGCAAATATAGCTTAAGAGACTTCTAAGACACCATCAAGCAGAACAACGTATGCATTATTGGCATGCCAGAAGGAAAATAAATAGAGAAAGGGAACGAAAACATAATCAAAATAATAATTGCAGAAACTTTCCCAAGTTTGGGGAGGGAATCAGAAAGCCAGAGGCAGAAAGCCCATAGCACACCAAATCAGATAAACTCAAAGAGACCCACACCAGGACACATCATGGATAAACTGTCAAAACTTAAAGACAAAGAGGGAGTGTTGAAAGCAGCAAAGGTAAAAGCAAATTGTCACATACAGGGGAGTCTCTATACAAATTGTTACATGCAGGGGAGTCTCTATAAGACTATCAGCAGACTTCTCAGCAGAAATTTTGCAAGCCAGAAGGAAGTGGGGTGATATATTCAAAATCCTAAAAGAAAAGAACTGTCAACAAAAAATATATACCCAGCAATCCTGTCTTTTGGAAAACAAGAGGTGATAAGGACTTTCTCAAACAAAAGCTGAGAGAGCTTAACACTACTAGATCTGCATTACAAAAAAAATGCTAAAGGAAGTTCTTCAATCTGAAGGAAGGGCTGCTAATTAGTATCATAAAAACATATGAAATTATACAACTCACTAGTAAAAGTAAATACACTGTCAAATCCAAAACACCCTAATACTGTAATGGTGATAGGCAAATCAATTATGTCTCTATTATAAGTGTCAAAAGGCAAAACTACTAAAAACAATGCAAGCTTCAATAATTTGCTAAGGGATACATATTACAAAAAGATGTGAAGTGTGACATCAAAAACATAAAATGTGGAAGAAGGGGGAGTAAAAATGGAGAGTTTGTGTATATAATAAAAATTAAGCTGCTATCAGTCTAAATAAACTATTTATACATATAAGATGTATTATGTAAGCCTCAGGATAACTGCAAAGCAAAAGCCTATGATAGATACACAAAAGAGAAAAAGAAAAAACTAAAGCATACCACTATGGAAAGTCATCAAATCACAAAGAAAGCAAGCAAAAGAGGAGGTAGGGAACAAATGATCTACCAAACAATTTGAAAACAATTAACAAAATTGCAGGAGCAAGTCTTTATCTATCAATAATACCTTGAATATAAATGTATTAAATTCCTCATTTAAAAGAGATAGAGTGACTAAATGAATTTTTAAGAAGACTCAACTATATGCTACCTACAAGGATACTTGTCTCACTTTGTAAGGACACACAGACTGAAAGTAAAGGAATGGAAAAAGATATTCCATGCAAATGAAAACCAAAGAGAGCAGGAGTACCTATACTTATATTAGAGAAAATAGACCTTCAGGCTAAGACTGTTAAATGAGACAAAGAAGGTCATCATATAATGATAAAGAGGTCAATTCAGCAAAAGTATACAATAATTATAAATATATATGCACCTAACACTGGAGCACCCAACTCTATAAAGCAAATATAAATAGACCAAAAGGAAGAGATAGACTGCAATACAACAATAGTAGGGAACTTCAACATTCAACTTTCAAAAACAGACAGATCATCTAGCAGAAAATCCACAAAGAAACATCAAAGTTAAACTACACTCTAGAATAAATGGACTAAGTGACATTTATGGAACATTTAATCTGACAGATGCAGAATACACATTCTTCTCATCAGCACATGGAACATTCTTCAGGATAGACCACATAATAGGCCACAGAGAAAGTCTCAATACATTTTTAAAAATTAAAATTATATCAAGTATCTTTTCTGAACACAATGGAATAAAACTAGAAATCAATAACAAGATAAACTTTGGAAAGTGTACAAATATACGGAAACTAAACAACATGCTCTTGGAGAACAAATGAGTTGAGTCAATGAAGAAATTAAGAAGAAAATATAAAATTTATTAAAACAAATTAAAAAACGGAGACACAACATACCAAAACCTATGTAATACAGCAAAAGTAGTAGTAAGAGAAAAGTTTATAGCAATAAATGCCTACATGTAAAAAGTAGAAAAATTTCAAATAAACAACTTAATGATGCACCTGAAGGAACTATAAAATCAAGACCAAACAAAACTCAAAATCAGAAGAAAAAATAATGAAGATCAGAACAGAAATAAATGAAATTAAGACTAAGAAAATATAAAAGATTAACAAACAAAAATTTGTTTTACTGAAATAAATAAAATTAGAGATGAAAAAGGAGACATTACAACTGATACCACAGAAATAAAAAGGATGATTAAAGACTACTATGAACAATTATATGCCAACAAATTGGAAAACTTAGAAGAGATGAATAAATTCATGAACACACATGATCTACCAAGGTTGAACCACGAAGAAATAGAAAGCCTGAACAGGCCAATAACCAGCAATGAGATTGAATCAGTAATAAAAATTCCCCCAAGAAAGAAAACTCCAGGACCAGATGTCTTCACTGTCTAACTCTACAAACTTTTTACAGAAGAACTAATACCATTTTTTCTCAATCTATTCCAAAAAACTGAAGGAGGGGGAATTCTTCCAAACACATTCTATGAAGCCAGTATTACCCTGATAACAAAACTAAACAAGAACACAAATAAAAATGAAAACTACAGGCCAATATCCCTGATGAACATAGATGCAAAAATCCTTAACAAAATACCAGCAAACCAAATTCAACAGGACATCAAAAAGATTAAACACAAAGATCGAGTGGATTCATCCCAAGGATGCAAACATGGATCAACATATACAGAATCAATAAATATGATACATTACATCAACAGAAAGAAAGACAAAAACCATATGATCATCTCAATAGATGTAGAAAAAGCATTTGATAAAATTCAACATCCCTTCACAATAAAATCCCGGAACAAGTTAGGGATAGAAGAAACAAACCTTAAAACAATAGAGGCGATATATGACGAATCCACAGCTAACATCATAATGAAGAGCGAACAGGTGAAAGCCTTTCTTCTAAGATCCAAACAAGACAAAGATATCTACTTTCACCATGTTTATTCAACATAGTACTGGAAGTCCTAGACAGAGCTATTAGGCAAGGGAAAGAAATAAAGGACATTCAAATTGAGAAGGTGATAGTCAAAACTGTTTCTGTTCGCAGATGACATGATTTTATATTTAGAAAACCTAAAGACTCTACAAAAAAAACTACTAAAAGTAAAAAATAAATTGCAGGATAACAAAATCAATATACAAAAGTCAGTCCACATTTCTATGTGCCAATAGTGGACAATCTGAAAAAGAAATTAAGAGAGAAATCTATTCCCGGGCAAGATGGCCGAATAGGAAGAGCTCCAGTCTGCAACTCCCAGCAAGACAAACACAGAAGGCAGGTGACTTCTGCGTTTCCAACAGAGGTCCCTGGTTCATCTCACTGGGAATGGTTAGACAGTGGGTGCAGCTCATGGAGGGAAAACAGAAGCAGAGTGGGGTGTTGCCTCACCCAGAAAATGCAAGGAATAGTGGAACTCCCTCCCCTACCCAAGGGAAGCCCTGAGAGACCATGCCATGTCGGATGGTGTTATCGAGCCCAGATACTATGCTTTTCCCACAGTCTTCAAAACCTGCAGACCAGGACACTTTCTCGGATGCCTACACCACCAGGGCCCTGGGTTTCAAGCACAAAACTGGGCAGCTGTTTGGGCAGACACTGAGCTAGCTGCAAGAATTTTTTTTTCGTACCCCAGTGGCACCTGGAGCACTAGCAAGACAGAACCGTTCACTCCACTGGAAAGGGGGCTGAAGCCAGGGAGCCAAGTGGTCTAGTTCAGCAGATCCCATGCCTATGGAGCCCAGCAAGCTAAGATCTACTGGCTTGAAATGCTTGCTGCCAGCACAGCAGTGTGAAGTTGACCTGGGACACTCAAGTTTGGTGGGGGAAGGGGCATCTGCAGTTACTGAGGCTTGAGTAGGCGGTTTTCCCCTCACACTGTAAAAGCCTCCAGGAAGTTCGGACTGGGTGGAGACCACCGCAGTGCTGCAAAGCTTCTCTAGCCACACTGCCTCTGTAGATTCCTCCTCTCTGGGCACGGCATCTCTGAAAGAAAGGCAGCAGCCCCAGTCAGGGGCTTATAAATAAAACTCTCAACTCCCTTAGACACAGCACCTGGGGGAAGGGGTGGCTGTGGGTGCAGCTTCAGCAGACTTAAACACTCTGCCTGCTGGCCCTGAAGAGAGCAGCAGATCTCCCAGCACAGCGCTCGAGCACTGCTAAGGAACAGACTGCCTCCTCAAGTGGGTCTCTGACCCCCATGCTTCCTGATGGGGAGACACCTCCAGCAGGGGTCAATGGACACCTCACACATGAGAGCTACAGCTGGCATCTGGTAGGTGCCCTTTGGGATGAAGCTTTCAGAGGTAGGAGCAGGCAGCAATCTTTGCTGTTCTGCAGCCTCTGCTGGTGATACCCAGGCAAACAGGGTCTGGAGTGGACCCCAGCAAACTCCAGCAGACCTGCAGAAGAGGGTCCTGACTGTTAGAAGGAAAACTAACAAACAGAAAGCAGTAGTATCAACATCAACCAGAAGGACAACCATGCAAAAACTCCATCCGAAGGTCACCAACAGCAAAGACCAAAGGTAGATAAATCCACAAAGATGAGGAAAAACCAGTGCAAAAAAGCTGAAAATTCCCAAAACAAGAATGCCTCTTCTCCTCCAAAGGATCACAACTCCTCGTCAGCAAGGGAACAAAATTGTATGGAGAATGAGTTTGACAAATTGACAGACGTAGGCTTCAGAAGATAGGTAATAACAAACTCCTCCAAGCTGAAAGGGCATGTTCTAACCCAATGCAGGGAAGCTAAGAACCTTGATAAAAGGTTAGAGGAATTGCTAATAGAATAACCAGTTTAGAGAAGAACATAAATGATCTGATGGAGCTGAAAAACACAGCATGGGAACTTTGTGAAGCATACACGAGTATCAATAGCTGAATCAATCAACTAGAAGAAAGGATATCAGAGATTGAAGATCAACTTAATAAAATAAACCATGAAGACAAGATTAGAGAAAAAAGAATGAAAAGGAATGAACTAAGCCTCCAAGAAATATGGGACTATGTGAAAAGACCAAATCTACATTTGATTGGTATACCTGAAAGTGATGGGGAGAATGGAACCAAGTTGGAAAACACTCTTCAGGATATTATCCAGGAGAACTTCCCCAACCTAGCAAGACAGGCCAACATTCAAATTCAGGAAATACAGAGAACACCATAAAGATACTCCTCAAGAAGAGCAACCCCAAGACACATAACCGTCAGATTCACCAAGGTTGAAATGAAGGAAAAAATGTTAAGGGCAGCCAGAGATAAAGGTCGGGTTACCCACAAATAGAAGCCCATCAGACTAACAGCAGATCTCTAGGCAGAAACCCTACAAGCCAGAAGAGAGTGGGGACCAATATTTAACATTCTTAAAGAAAAGAATTTTCAACCCAGAATTTAATATCTGGCCAATCTAAGCTTCGTAAGTGAAGGAGAAATAAAATCCTTTACAGACAAGCAAATGCTGAGGGATTTTGTCACCACCAGGCCTGCCTTACAAGAGCTCCTGAGGATGTACTAAACATGGAAAGGAAAAACTGCTACCAGCCACTGCAAAAACAAACCCAAATGTAAAGACCACCAACACTATGAAAAAACTGCATCAACTAATGGGCAAAATAACCAGCTAGCTTCATAATGACAGTATCAAATTCACACATAACAATATTAACCTTAAATGTAAATGGGCTAAACACCCCAATTAAAAGGCACAGACTGGCTTATTGGATAAGGAGTCAAGACCCACTGGTGTGCTGTATTCAGGAGACCCATCTCACATGCAAAGACACACATAAGCTCAAAATAAAGGGATGGAGGAAGATTTACCAAGCAAATGGAAAGCAAAAAAAAAGGGGGGTTGCCTGATAAAACAGACTTTAAACCAACAGAGATCAAAAAAGACAAAGAAGGGCATTACATAATGGTAAAAGGATCAATGCAACAAGAAGAGCTAACTATCCTTTAACATCCCACTGTCAATATTAGACAGATCAACAAGACAGAAAATTAACAAAGTTATTCAGGACTTGAAGTCAGCTCTGGACCAAGAAGACCTAATAGAGCTCTACAAAATTCTCCACCCCAAATCAACAGAATATACATTCTTCTCAGCAGTTCATCACACTTATTCTAAAATTGACCACATAATTGGAAGTAAAACACTCCTCAGCAAATGCAAAAGAATGGAAATCATAACAGTCTCTCAGACCACAGTGCAATCAAATTAGAACTCAGGATTAAGAAACTCACTGAAAACTGGACAAATACATAAAACAAATACAAATAAACAATCTCCTCCTGAATGACTACTGGGTAAATAACTAAATGAAGGCAGAAATAAAGATGCTCTTTGAAACCAATGAGAACAAAGACACAATGTACCAGAATCTTTGGGACACATTTAAAGCAGTATGTGGAGGGAAATTTATAGCACTGAATGCCCACAATAGAAAGCAGGAAAGATCTAAAATTGACACCCTAACATCACAATTAAAAGAACTAGAGAAGCAACAGCAAACAAATTCAAAAGCTAGCAGAAGACATGAAATAACTAAGATCAGAGCAGAACTGAAGGAGATAGAGACATGAAAAACCCTTCAAAAAAAAATCAATGAATCTAGGAGCTACTTTCTTGAAAAAATCAACAAAATAGATAGATCGTTAGCCAGACTAATAAAGAAGAAAAGAGAAAATAATCAAATAGATGCAAGAAAAAATGATATAGGGGATATCACCACTGATCCCACAGAAATACAAACTACCATCAGAGAACACTATAAACACCTCTATGCAAATAAACTAGAAAATCTAGAAGAAATGAATAAATTCCTGGACACATACACCCTCCCAAGACTAAATCAGGAAGAAGTGGAATCCCAGAATAGACCAATAACAGGCTCTGAAATTGAGGCCGTAATTAATAGACTACCAACCAAAAAAAGTCCAGGTCCAGACGGATTCACAGCCAAATTCTACCAGAGGTACAAAGAGGAGCCGGTACCATTACTTCTGAAATTATTCCAAACAATAGAGAAAGAGGGAATCCTCCCAAACTCATTTTATGAGGCCAGCATCACCCTGACACCAAAACTGCCAGAGGCATAAAAAAAAAAAAGAAAATTTCAGGCCAATATCCCCAATGAACATTGATGCAAAAATACTCAATAAAATACTGGCAAACTGAATACAGCAGCACATCAAAAAGCTTATCCACCACGATCAAGTTACCTTCATCCCTGGCATGCAAGGCTGGTTCAACATACACAAATCAATAAAGGTAATCCATTACATAAACAGAATCAATGACAAAAACCACTTTATGATCTCAATAGATGCAGAAAAGGCCTTCAATAAAATTCAAAACCTCTTCATGCTAAAAACTCTCAATAAACTAGGTATCAATGGAACATACCTCAAATTAATAAGAGCTATTTATGAAAAACCCACAGCCAATATCATACTGAATGGGCAAAAACTGGAAGAATTCCCTTTGAAAACTGGCACAAGACAAGGATGCCCTCTCTCATCACTACTATTCAACATAGTACTGGAAGTTCTGGCCAGGGCAGTCAGGCAAGAGAAAGCAATAAACGGCATTCAAATATGAAGACAGGAAGTCAAACTGTCTCTGTTTGCAGATGACATGATTGTATATTTAGAAAACCCCATCTCAGCCCAAAACATCCTTAAGCTGATATGCAACTTCAGCAAATTCTCAGGATACAAAATCAATGTGCGAAAATCACAAGCATTCCTATACACCAGTAACAGACAAAGAGTGAGTCAAATCATGAGCAAACTCCCATTCACAGTTGCTACAAAGAGAAAAAAATACCTAGGAATACAACTTAAAAGGGACGTGAAGAACCTCTTCAAGGAGAACCGCAAACAACTGCTCAGAGAAATAAGAGAGGACACAAACAAATGGAAAAACATTCCATGCTCATGGATAGGAAGAATCAATATCATGAAAATGGCCACACTTCCCAAAGTAATTTATAGATTCAATGTTACTCTTGTCAAGCTACCATTGATTTTCTTCACAGAATTAGAAAAAACTACTTTAAATTTCATATGGAACCAAAAAAGAGCCCATAGAGCCATGTCAATTCTAAGCAAAAAGAACAAAGCTGGAGGCATCATACAACCTTACTTCAAATTATACTACAAGGCTATGGTAACCAAAACAGCGTGGTACTTGTACGAGAACAGATACTTAGACCAGTGGAACAGAACCAAGGCCTCAGAAATAACACCACACATCTACAACCATCTGATCTTTGACAAATCTGACAAAAACAAGCAATGGGGAAAGGACTCCTTTGGGAAAACCGGCCAGCCATATGCAGAAAACTGAAACTGGACCCCTTCCTTACACCTTATACAAAATTAAGTCAAGACGCATTAAAGATTTAAATGTAAGACCTAAAACCATAAAAACTCTAGAAGAAAACCTAGGTAATACCATTCAGGACATAGGCATGGGCAAAGATTTCATGACTAAAACACCAAAAGCAATTGCAACAAAAGCCAAAATTGACAAATGAGTTATAATTAAACTAAAGAGCTTCTGCACAGCAAAAGAAACTATCATCAGAGTGAACAAGCAACCTACAGAACGGGAGAAAATTTTTGCAATTTATCCATCTGACAAAGGGCTGATATCCAGAATCTACAAAGAACTTAAACAAATTTACAAGAAAAAACAAACAACCCCATCAAAAAGTGGGTGAAGGATATGAACGGACACTCAAACATATGAAAAAAAGCTCATCATCACTGGTCATTAGAGAAATGCAAATCAAAACCACAATGAGATACCATCTCATACCAGTTAGAATGGCGATCATTAAAAAGCCAGGAAACAAAAGATGCTGGAGAGGATGTGGAGAAATAGGAACACTTTTAACTGTTGGTGGGAGTGTAAATTATTTCAACCATTGTGGAAGACAGTGTGGCTATTCCTCAAGGATGTAGAACTAGAAATACCATTTGACCCAGCAATCCCACTACTGCATATATACCCAAAGGATTATAAATCATTCTACTATATAGACACATGCAAACGTATGTTTATTGCAGCTCTATTCACAATAGCAAAGACTTGGAACCAACCCAAATGCCCATCAATGTTAGACTGGATAAAGAAAATGCGGCACATATACACCATGGAATACTATGCAGCCATAAAAAAGAATGAGTTCATGTTCCTTGCAGAGACATGGATGAAGCTGGAAACCATCATTCTCAGCAAACTAACACAGGAACAGAAAACCAAACACCGCATGTTCTCACTCATAGTGGGAGTTGAACAATGAGAACATATGGGCACAGGGAGGGGAACATCATACACTGGCGCCTGACGGGGGTGGGGAGTAAGGTGATGGATAACATTAGGAGAAATACCTAGTGTAGATGACGAGTTGATGGGTACGACAAACCACCATGGCACATGTATACCTATGTAACAAATCTGCTTGTTTTGCACATGTATCTCAGAACTTAAAGTATAATTTTTTAAAAAAAAGAAAGAAATCTAATTTACAATAGCTACAAAAACAAGATAAAACATCTAGGAATAAATTTAACCAAAGAGGCAAAATATCTCTACAATGAAAACTGTAAAACATTGATTTAAAAATAATCGAAGAGGACACACACAAAAAATAAAAAGATATTCCATGTTTATGGATTGGGAGAATTGATACTGTTAAAAAGTCCATAATACCCAAGGTGATCTATAGATTCAATGCAATCTGTAGAAAAATACAAATGACATTCCTCTCAGAAATAGAAAAAACAATCCCAAAATTTGTATAGTATCACAAAAGACTCCAAATAGCCAAAGCAATCTTGGGCAAAAAGAACAAAGCTGGAGACATCCCACTACCTGACTTTAAAATATAATACAAAGCTATAGTAACCAAACAGCATGGTACTGGCACTAAAATAGATACACAGACCAATGGAACAGAATAGAGAACCCAGAAATAAATCTATGTATTTACAGCCAACTGATTTTCAATGAAGGCATCAAGAACAAAAATTGGGGAAAGAACAATCTCCTCAATAAACTGTTTTGAGAAAACTGGATATCTACATGCAAAAGAATGAAATTAGACCCTTACCTCCCACCATGTACAAAAATCAACTCAAAAGGCATTAAAGATTTAAACATATGTCCCAAAACTATCAAACTACTAGACAAAAGCATAGGGGAAATACTTCAGAACATTAGTCCGGGTAAAGACTTCTTAGATTCATCTCAAAGCACATGCAACAAAAACAAAAATAGGCAAATGGGATTATGTCAAACTAAAAAGCTTCTGTACAGCAAAGGAAACAATCAACAGAGTGAAGAGACAACCTAAAGATTCGGAGAAAATATTTACAAACTGTCGATCCAACAAGGGATTAATATCTAGTGTATATAAAGACTCAGACATCAGTAGCAAAGACAAAAAAATCCAATTAAAAAATGAGCAAACACTCTAAATACACATTTTCTTAAAAGAGGCCAACAGGTCTATGACAAAAATGCTCAACATTTTTTGTTGAGGGAAACGCAAATCAAAAACACAATGAGATATCATCTTACCAGTAAAATGGCTATTATAAAAAAGACAAAAAATTCAAATGTTGGCAAGAATGTGGAGAAAGGGGAACTACTATGGATTGTTTATGTGAATGTGAATTAGTACAGCCATTATGGAAAACAGTATGGCTGTTAGCCAAAAAACTAAAAATAGAAATATAATATGATCCAGTCATTCCATTACTGGGGGTATATCCAGAGGAAAGCAAATCAATATGTCAGAGCTACCTACACTCCCCTGCTTATTGCAGCACTATTTACAGCAGGCAAAATATGAAATAAACCTGTGTCCATCAATGGATAAATGGACACAGAAAGTGTGGTATATATACACAATGGAATATTATTCAGCCATGGAAAAGAATGAAATCCTGTCATTTGTAAAAACACAGACGACCCTGGCAGACACTGTGTTAGTGAAATAAGCCAGAAAGACAAATATCACATATTCTCACTCATATGTGGGAGCTAAAAAAGTGGATTTTATGGAGGCAGAAAGTAGAACAGTGGTTACGAGAGACTGAGAATGGAAAGAGGAGAGAGGGATAAGAAAAGATTGGTTAACAGCTACAAAATTACAATTAGGTAGGAGGAATAAGTTCTAATGTTCTGTAACACAGCAGGGTGACTGTAGTTAACAATAATTTACTGTATATTTCAAATTATCTGGATGAAAGAATTTTGAATATTCCCAACACAGGGAAATAATAAATGTTTGAGGTGATGGATATACCAATTAACTTGACTTGATCATTATACATTGTATATAGGTATCAAAATATCACATGTACTCTATAAATATGTACAATTATTATGTGTCACATATTCTCATTTATGGGATCTAAAAATCAAAACAAATTTTTTAATGCAGGTGACAACATCTTGCAGAACTGGTTTAAGAATTTTAAGTGAAATATATACAGGCAAAACTCATTTTATTGCTCTTTGCTTTATTGCACTTTGCAGATACTGTGTTTTTTAAAAAGAGGTTTTTTACAAAGAGGTTTGGGGCAACCTTGCATTGAGAAAGCCTATTGGCACCATTTTTCCAATAGCATTTGCTCATTTCATGTCTCCGTGTCACATGTCGGTAATGCTTGCGATATTTCAAATGTATTATTATTATGATGATGTCTGCTTTGGTGATGTGTGATCTGCAATCTTTGATTTTACTATTACAATTTTGGGGGTGCCACAAACAGTGCTCATATCAAGTGCATCATATTAAGATGGAGAACTTAATAAATACATGCTGTGTGTGTTCTGATAGCTCCACCAATTGGCCATGCCCCTGTCTCTCTTTCTTTCTTTGGGCTCCCTATTCCGTGAGACACAACCATATTGACATTACGCCAATTAATAATCTTCAATGATCTCTAATTGTTCAAGTGAAAGGAAAAGTCACATGTTCCTCACTTTAAATCAAAAGCTAGAAATTATTAAGTTTAGTGAGTAAAGCCTGCTGAAAGCCAAGATAGACCAAAGCTAGGCATCTTGCACAAACAGTTCGTTCTGAATGGAAAAAAAAAGTTCTTGAAGGAAATGAAAAGTGCTTCTTCAGTGAACACACGAATAATAGGAGAGCAGAGCAGCCTTATTGCTGATAGGGAGAAAGCTTGAGTGGTCTGGATAGAAGATCAAACCAGGTACAACACTCTTTCAAGCCAAAGCTTAATCCAGAGCAAGGTACTAACTCTCTTCAATTCTGTAAAGGTCGAGAGAGGTAAGGAAGGTGCAGAAGAAAAGTATGAAGGTGGCAGAGGTTAGTTCATGAGAGTTAAGGAAAGAAGCATCTCCATAAAATAAAGTACAAGGCGAAGCAGCAAGTGCTGATATAGGAACTGCAGCAAATTTTCCAGAAAAATCTAACTAAGATGATTGATGATGATGGCTACACTAAACAACAGATTATCAACATAGGTAAAACAGCCTTCTCTAGGAAGAAGGTGACAGGTAGGATGTTCATAGCTAGAGATGAGAAATCAATGCCTGGCTTCAAACCTTCAAAGAACGGACTCTCTTTTTAGAGGGTAATGCAGCTGGTGACTTTAAGTTTAGGCCAATTATCATATGCCATTCAGAAAACCCTACAGCCCTTAGGAATTATGTTAAATCTACTCTGCCTGTGCTCTATAAATGGAATAAAAAAAGCCTGGATGACAACACATGTGTTTACTGCATGGTTCACTGACTATTTTAAGCCCACTGTTGAGACCTACCGCTAGGAAAAAAAAAAAAAGATTCCTTTCAAAACATTACTCCTCATTGACAATGCACTGGTCATCCAAGAGCTGTAATGGAGGTATACAAAGAAATGAATGTTGTTTTCATGCCTGCTCACACAACATCTATTCTGTAGCCCAGGGATCTAGAAGTCATTTTAACTCTCAAGTTTTATTATTTAAGAAATTCATTTTGTAAGGCTTTAGCTGCCACAGATAGAAATTCCTCTGATAGATCTGGGCAAGGTACATTGAAAACTATGGAACGGATTCACCATTTTAGATGCTATTAAGAACATTCATGATTCATGAAAGGGAGTCATATCAACATTATCAGGAGTTGGAAGAAGTTGACCCAACCCTTATGGATGAGTTGGAGAGGTTCCAGATTTTACTACAGGAAAAACTGCAGATGTGGTGGAAATAATAATATTAGAATTAGAAGTGGAGCCTGAAGATGTGACTGAATTGCTGCAAGCTCGTGATAAAATTTTCACAGATGAGGAGTTGCTCCTTATGGATGAACAAAGAAAGTGGTTTCTTCTGATAGAATCTTCTCCTGGTGAAGATGCTATAAAAATTGTTGAAATGACAAAGGATTTAGACTATTATGTAACTTATTTTATTACATAAAATTAGTTAATAAAGCAGCAGCAGGGTCAGAGATGATTGACTCCAACTTTGAAAGAATTCTACTGTGGGTAAAATGCTATCTAATAGCATTCCATGCTACAGAGGAATCTTTCATGAAAGGAAGAGTCAATTTATGTGTCAAACTTATTTGTGGTCTTATCTTCAGCAGCTATCACACTGATCAGTCAGCAGCCATCAACATCAAGGCCAGGCCCTCCACCAGCAAAAAGATTATGACTCATTGAAGGCTCAGATGATCATTAGCATTTTTCAGCAATATTTTTAACTGAAGGTATGGTCATTATTTTTTAAAATATAATGCTATTATGCACTTAACAGACTAAAGTATAGTATAAACATTACTTTTATATGCAATTGGAAACAAAAAATTTGTGTGGCTCACTTGTTTATAGTGATCTGGATCCAAACCCACAATATTTCTGAGGTATGCCTGTAAAGTGACTGGTACACTGTAGGCACTTAATGCATGGCAGCTATTATTCATATTGGACCTACTAACTTAATTGATGAAATAGCTAGGGAATACCCAGAGAGTCATGTACTTGTAGAAAATGTGTGATATTTGAATTGCTTCCCAAAGATGATTTTAAAAAACTTCATCACCAAAAATAACCAGTATATTTATAGATGTATAGAAAAGCTAGCACCTCTACAATGTGCAGAGCTAAAAATATTACGTGAAATCCTAGAAATGCTAGGATCTACAAGGGCTGTCTGACTACATTTTAGCATTCAACACATCATTTCGGATTATCTTCTAAAGCTGAAAGGCCATTAATCCATTAAAACACATTATTTTAAACAAAACTCCGATCATCAAACTGCACTACTACTGTGCCATTCCGGTAAGCGGGGTCAGATTTTTTCCTTTTTTATTGGCCTTTTTTCTTGTTTCTCCAAAATGAAACATGACTATAAAGTAAGATAATGGGCTTCCTTATGTGATGGTAAACAAGTTCCAAAGAGTTCCTAAGATGTCTCACTTAATACCAGCACAACTGAAATGGAAGTAAAACTTCCAAGAATGACGACTCATGACTTAGTGGTGGAGGCTGGAGGTTCTGGCATGTTCATTTTTAAAGACCAATTTCAGCACTTTATAGTTCCATTTACTAGAAATAGAGTCTGAGAGACTCTATTTCTTATGGAGGCAGTGGGTCTTATGGAGGCAGGTGGGGCAGGGGATTGTAGGGAGGCCTCCTCTAAATTATTCTGGACAGTCCATCATGCAATAGATTGACCTTCATGTCAGCCTGCAAGTAGACATTTTGAGGGTTCACAGATACAGAGGAAAGTACTTTCAGATGTTAGGAATTAAAAATCCTCAAGATATGCATGTAAATAATATATGCAGACAAATGTATCTTGGTTTGATGGTTTTTTCTCAGAGTCCCAGAAAATAAATTACTTAGTAAGAAATCCCAGCTTATAATGTGGTCTTTTAGAGTAAAAATATCTGAATCTAATCCTCCTAGAGTCAAAATTGTGCTAAGCACTGTTTATATCTAACAATATCATAAGTCTCTAATCTGTTGTATATGATATTCCATTGCCAGGCCAACTCAGTATTTATCAATTAGAAATTGGGAAAAAGCAGATTTTATTTTGCCTTTAAATGACTCTTTGCATCCAGTTCTTCCTCCTCAACAAAATTTTGCACTTTGGGGTTAGTTACAAGAAGTATTTCCTCCCTAAAGCTCCACCAGGTTGCCTTCTGGTAGAAACTGTTTCTTCACGTGCCACAGACCCTGGAGGGCAGGACATCCAAGTTACAACAGTTCAAGCCAAGTGGCTGCAGGACCCATACAGCTGTGACTTCTGTCAGCTCTTAAATAAAACATTAGACGTGTGTCTATTGTTTGTGAACTGTCCATGGTCCCTTTTCAGCTGGCTGGGGTTAAAGGGTATGTAGATTAGTAGGCCAGCTGTTTGGTAATTGTCACAGCCAGTTACTCGGTAAGCTATAGGACAGCATTCTCTGGAGGTAATGTCTTTGTTGCTAAGCAATGAATTCAGGTAAAATGTCTTTCCCTGGTTCTTTTTGGTCCAGTTTTAGAACACAGGGTATTGGTTACATTGTCTTCTCCCACAGCCCATTCACACCTCTTTTGTTTTTCTACCCAGGCCATGAAATGAGTGCCGATAAGTTGGGACAGCCCTGTTTACTGGGACTTATCAACTGCTAATGCAGTCCAGGAGTAAGCAAATGGCTGGGCAGCAGTATTTCTTGGGATATGCTCTAAGGTAGCCACTGTCATAATGTCCCTTCCAGATCTTAGTTTGGGAATTGGCCAATATATCCATCAGATGGGCACAAAGAAGAGCAAAAACAATGGCAGGAATGTGATGAGAAGAAAGGTAAATGGATGCCTGGTGATGTGTGCCCACGTCAGTTACCAACTTTATTATTATTATTATTTAGTTTACATTTTGAAATACATACTTGCCCTCAATACTTAAGCATAAATGTTCGGTTACAGAGACCAAGAGCACTGGGTAAGAGGGGACTCTGGCAGGAAAACCTCAGTTTAGTCCCCTCAGAATAGGTTTGAGCCATCTTCCTCCTCTAAGGAGTTTGCTGCAGACAACATCAACAACCAGCTTCTCAACTACATTTCTTCCTACCTTAAAATTTTGAAGCCATTATGACCTGATGTTACAGGAGATCATCTAAGGTAAGCCCCACTCACTATGTTGTTTCCCCGGCAGTGTTTCAGTAGAAGAGATAAAAGAAAGAGTGGTGTTTGGGTTCTCGGAAAAACCTATTAATTCAACTGAGCATTCTTACCACTTTCTGTGGAAAATCACGGTTCCTCAGAGCAGGGTGTGGGTTCTATCTGGGACTCTCATGTGCTGGGGCCCTGCCACCATCACTTCTTCCATGCGTGAGCCTCACATTAGCTATACCACACCAAATAGTTAGCAGGTAGACATTTTCCTCCCAAAAATGATACTCATGTTCAAAAGCGTTCACAAAGAAATTCCTTTCAATGGCAATCGCCATTAGGAAATTTTAAAGATTTCTTTTTTTCATAGTGAACCAACGTATACCCACAGAATATGAAAATCATGGGATACAATGTGCTTCAAGTCCAGCACAGAAGCTATGCTCTTGCTGAAGCTCTTGCTCAAGACTCCCAGCTGGCAAAAAGGGCCTCTGCCAGGCAGCCACTGCCCCACCTCACTGGGTGATGGTTAACAGCAACAGGGTCTGAAACACAACTCCACCTTTGATTTGCAAGGTGGCCTTCAGCAAATTACCTGGCCTCTCTCTGCCTCAATGCCCTCATTTTTTAAAATGGGCATAAAAATAAGGTTGGTTAAAAACAGGGTTGCTATGAAATAATACATGTGACCCCCCAAGTGCATAATAATTGCTAGCCTTGGTTATAGTTACCTCTCCTTTGGAGCCCACACTGTACCAAACTAAACAAACAAATGCCTGTTTAGTGTCCACTGTGGGCAAGGCTCTGCTTGTCAGTTAAAATCTTGTTAGAGTGAATGAAAATAAAACATTGAAACGAAGAGCACTTTTGGTATTCATTACTTAAGGTTCTTATATGATTTTTCTAGAGAAACAGACCTATAGAGAGTACTAGAGTTACACAGCAGAAACCTATACTGTGTGTGACATGCACCTCTACTTGCGCAGAAGTTTTTATGCCTGTATGTTTGCCCAGTGAGCCCACTGCGTTTGGAGGAGGCATGGGTGTTTAGCTCTGCAGCTTCCCCTCGGCCCAGCGAACCACTGGCAACAACTAATGGTCAAGAAAGATGTTCAAGTTGTTGACTTAGGAAAGGATGAGGCAGAGAAAAGAAAAAAATAAAAAGGTCAGGTTCAAAGCGTTGCCTATGGTTTTTGTCATTTTCTTGTCCGTTTCCTTTTAAATTCAAAGTGCTCAAAGTCCTTTAGGAACTCTTTCGCCATCTAGGTAAGTTGACAGGCAGTCTTACTCTCCCCAGTACATGGATATGAGATGATTGAGAAAATAAGCAGTGGTCTGGAGCCCCAAACTATAACAAACAAAACAACGAAACATTAATATCTACAAAATTCCATGCAGGTTTTCCTAAGGCCTTCTCCCAAATCTTAATTCATGGTTTCCCTTGAAATGGACATTTAGATAAACCAGCACTTAAATGTAAAAAGAGAAGCTCTGGGTGCTTCAATAAAAGAGATTGATAAAGAGAAGAGAGATGAGTAGTATTCCGTGCATTGAGAGGCTAAACACTCAAAGGGCTGGCCACAGCTCTAACCTGCGTTAGCAGGTTGAGCCCCTCGCAGCTCAACTCCACAGAATCCTCTGTTGGGCAGAACTTACCATAAACATGGATTAAGGACCAAGGGCCACAAAGTAAACTCACAGACCAAAAAGACAAAAAGAATCCTCCAGCACAACTTTTGTGAAGAAAAAAAAGGAGAAATCATAGTCTGACTTGTGAGGCTTCTGACAGTTTAACTTTAATGGACCCTGTTTATGTAAGGAGTAAAGGCTTGTTTAAAAGAAATGTTTTAACTTCATAAAGTAGGTTAAAGAAGCCATTACACTTCTCACTTGCATGGTAAATTTATTAGTTGACAGCTCTAAGTAGAACACAAAACAAAATACCCTGCCACCGGAGGCTGAAGCGGGCAGATCATGAGGTCAAGAGATCGAGACCATCCTGGCCAACACTGTAAAATCCTGCCTCTACCAAAAATACAAAAATTGGCAGGGTGCGGTGGCTCACGCCTGTAATTCCAGCACTTTGGGAGGCCGAGGCAGGCGGATCACGAGGTCAGGAGATTGAGACCATCCTGGCTAACACAGTGAAACCCTGTCTCTACTAAAAATACAAAAACAAAATTAACCAGGCGTGGTGGCGGATGCCTGTGGTCCCAGCTACTCGAGAGGCTGAGGCAAGAGAATGGCGTGAACCCAGGAGGCGGAGGTTGCAGTGAGCCGAGATGGCGCCACTGCACTCCAGACTGTCAACAGAGTGAGACTCCCTCTCAAAAAAAAGAAAAAAACACAAATACCCTGCCACCTGTGTAACTCACTGAATTGTTTTGTTCTTAAACTTCGCCCTTTCTTAGATTAATAATCAGTTGTAACATAGGCTCATAAAATGAAAGTGGGTTTTTACCATCTTGTCATATCTTATATTAGCACTATCACCTTCCTATAATGATCTCCTCGTTATAACAATTTCCTCATATATTGGGATGCTCCTTTGGACAGCATTACCTCATAAAGAAGTCATTTTGATATTTCAGGAATAAAACCTCTTTGGATAGAGTCCAAGAGCCACTATCACTTTAAAACAAATGGCTCTTGGTGACAAATATTAAGACTCCTGTGTGTTTTAACTTAGGTTCTGAAGAATTAAATGTCAGAATCCTAAACTAAGACACATTTGCTTTTTTGCTATTTCCCGCCCCTGAGTATTACAAGACACAGTATTTTGACAGTGTTTTACATTTATACTTCACACAAACAAGGCGCAATTGAACATTTTATCACCACACAAAATAAACCTAGGCAAACATCTCTTTCTTCCTGTCGTGTATGTTGTCATTTGGCCATGAGGCATCATGTTTGCCTCTTTATTCCTGTTTTGTGAGTGAGTTGTGTTTTCACTAAACTTTCTTTTTTTCCTGGAGTTAGCAGTGATCAATTAGTTGCCTCCTTACCCTGAACAATTAGAGAGGATCTCTCTCTGTGTGTATCCTTCCTACTTCCTTAGCCCAGAGCTCTCCACCACTAGAAGCAATTCTTATTTTTTTTAATTTTGAGACAGGAGATATTGGGAACATGCAAATAGACAGTAAAAGGCCTCCCAAAAGTATGCTCTTTTTAGAATGCACTTATCATCAGCATGGTACACATCTACCTGATTATTTCTTATCTAGACAAAACTCTGGTGAGGGTTTTTTTGTTTGCTTTGGTTTGGTTTGGTTTTTTCTTTTTCTGTCTCACAAAAACCAAGTGTTCTCCAGCAATGAGGCAACGGAAAAAATCAATACTTGCCATGTACCATGTAACCAATAGAATAAGGGGAATGATTTATGTATGGTTGGATGCAGCCTGAATCAGCTGGGGCCTCGTACAGAGAGCAAGAAAAAGAGAGAGGAAGAGACACAGAGAGAGAACGAGAGAGAAAAAAAACAGGGGGAGATAGCAGGGAGCTCGACTGCAGTGATCATTTCTACGGTGTGGCCAGATTTTTTTTTTTTTCTGCAGCAATAATCCCCCTTTCCGGCACTACAGGACACAGGGAAAGCCTGCAATTTATGGAATATCTGATGGCTCAGCTTTCCCCTCCTTTCCTCAGAGTCATGATGCCATGTTCACATTAAGGTGCACTGAGAAGGGGAGAATGATGTATGGCCTGCAGTCCTTCAACCTTCCAGTCATCTCCACCCTAAGAAAGGCTAGTGATGAGTCGGCAAGCATTAGTTGACAGAGAGTCAAATTATCAACAGGATTAAAAATAAATAAATAAAGCGCTCCAGCAACGCTTCCTAAGAAGACCAGCGGGAAGGGCTTACAGACGAGAACTACTCTATACCCCAGGAGTTTCTGCTGGAAATATAGTTTGGTTAACTGGAAATCCAGGGCGCTGCAGCATTTAAAGGTATTCCATCCTGAAGGTAACTTTTAGGGTAGCTGATATTCTTACTCAAAGCTTAGATATGAACTGTAGTTATGTGCTTGTGGTGGGGAGGTGGAAGTAGAAAGCCCTAAGCCCAGCTACTTCACAGCTGGATACCTGGTACTATTGTATATTGAATTCTAGTAGTTGTGACTTTAAACTGGGTTAATCGTTTGCTTCAGGATGACATAATATATATGGAGATATATATATATATATGTTTATTAAATAACATAATCGTTTATAAAATTCCTACTCCCTGCTTCAACCCAGGATGAACCTTGCAGGACTTGATGAGAAGCAAATTTGACTATTTCTTTGGAATATCTTTGTTTTCTGTGGTGTATTTAAATGGATCTAAATTTGTTTTCATGAGTTACCTTCTTTATACATTGTGCTTGAAAACGTAGAAAGGTTGACAGCATATCATTTCCATCAGTCTGTTGAACAAGACTGAATTATGTCCTTTGATGAGGAACACTGATGCCATATAATTTTTTATGATGTTTTCACATTCTTTAACCCAGACACAGTACTAACACCACAGTTTGATATTCCGCTAAAATATCCTATATTCTATATATGATTCATTACACCACACATAATCCATGGAAAGATATTTTAAAGACTGAGTATGTCAGAATAATGTCACGTCGTTAATGTTTGCTTAATTTGGAGCTGGTAGTGTTAACACCCAAAAACTGTTAAAATAGTTTTTCCCCTTTCAGTTGAAAGTGTCTACTCAACCCAATATTATCATAAACTCTCTTGACAAAATGCCATGCAATTTTAAAATTTTGTATGTTTACCTTATATAAATTATCTTAAACTCTACTGACAAAATACCATGCTGTTTAAAATATGTAATGTTAACCCTATAAAAATTATCTTGAACTCTCTTCACAAAATGCCATGTTGGTTTTTTAATATGTACATTCAAAGTGTAGTGGCTGGCAATTTTTGGCATTTTTCCACACACATATTATCATCTAATTTTTACTTTCATTTATGACATAATTATTTTTGTGATTCTTACATTCTGTATTTAGCTCCTCATTTACATTGAAGAGTTTGTGGATTTATTTCATAGTTAAGTCTGCACGCATAGAATAAAAGATTAAAAATAAAGTGCAGATAGCTACAAAAATATAAAAAACTCTTCTCAGTAGTCCTTGTCTTTTAAATTGCTCGTCACACTTTAATACCATTTTTATAGGTGTCATTAAAGAGCAGTTAAGTTGAAGCTTTATTAGTTATAAATCAGTAAATACTCTCATGTCTGCACTTAAATGTCTAGTCATTGAGAGATTTGATCTACCTTATTCCTTACAAAATTATTTTGGCAAGATTTCTATGTAAACTTCACTAAATATATATAATTTTTTTCCTCTGAACAAAATTGAGAACAATAAAAATGTAGTCCATAAGTAAACTGTACATAATTAAATATCTTTCCATAATTATAATACAGAACTGATTATCCAAACCAGCAGAAATTATGCATAATCGTTTTAAATGGGGGAGACCAGGTAGATATCTGCTGCCTCTCTCTATGTAAGGAAAGATTAGCACTGTTTTTTACATTTTGATCTTGATCATCATTCTCCCTTTCATTCTTCTATTGGCCCAAACAGGTAAAACAACAGAAACCCATTACCATCTTTACTTTTGGTTCCGCTGCCTCAGCCAAGCCATCCAGGTGAGGGTTAATAAACAGAGAAAACCTGGAGAGGTTCCAAATAAAGTGAGAACTATAAAGACGAAGGCCAACGCTGCAAACATCTCAGCCAGAAAGAACACTCTTAGCACCCTACAAGCAGGTATGTGCTTACCAGCAAACTAAAGCAAATGGAAATTAAGAAGCATGATCACCACCAGCAAGGTGCTGCTGAACTATAAGGTAAGTACAACTAGGACCTTACTGTAGATGTATTTTTAGAGCTATGTTGCTGCCACTTAAGAAAAACTATTATCTATAGCAGAGAAAAAGCTTAAAAGCCTGCCAAAGGCCACAAAGAGAGTTGAATGAGTCTGGCCAAGTCTATTATATTATTTGAGATGGGCCTTCCAACCACAGGTACCTGGGGGGTTAGCAAACAGAATCCTGGCCCTAACCATACCAGAATCGCACCAAACGAGTAATAAACTAACTGCAGAGAGCAGATGGGTAAACAAGAAGCCCAAGAGCTGGATTTCATTGTTAGTTAACAGAATTTCCAACACATGTCCCTTCATTTAAAAAGTTTATTTCTACTAAATGTAAACTTCCCAAGTTCTAATGAAAGCTGATAATGCTTCCCAGTATGAGATTAATTTCCTATCAACATCTGGAGTTAAAATTCATAGGTTCATATATTCATGGATAAAACTCATGTTGGCATCTTATGCTGTGACAGAAAAACATATCTTCTCATTGTAAGGAAGAGTCTTCAGTGAACGCCTACTATGGTTTATATTCTCCTTCATCGGTGGTTAAAATTTCACTGATGAAGTACCCCTTAAAGAGAAAATCAATGTCTGAGCTTAACCACCTGCTTTGTTTTAGCACCACAAATTATTTTAAAAACTGATTAACATGAGTAACTCACTATTTAGGAAATACAGAAAATAGTGTTTCATATTGCTATCTGTTATGCAAAAAAGAAGTTAAGTTGACATACAGTCCGTTGCTCAATAATTAATTAATCCACTTAATACAAATAAATGAAAGAACTGATCAAAAAAATCCACATTTTTAAAGTCTAATTTCATCTTCGTATGATGAATAAAAATGAAAACATTCTCATGTTAAAAATAAAAATATTATTACTTTTAAATACGTCTGCTTCTACCTAAGAGATAACTTGTAGGTTCTCCATAAAGGAACTATTTCTCACTCCATTTCTTTTTTCTGCAATTAGTCTATGGCACCCAGAGCATCATGGATTAGTCTAGTTTAATCTGAACATAATCGGATAGCAAGCTTCTATTTTCTGATCTAAACAAGCTCACGTTAAAAATACATAGAACTTGGATTCTATTTAACAGAAAGGCTAAATAAGCAGAATAAAATATGACAACACATTTCTGTACTGTTAAAATATCATTACCTGTACTTTGCAGACCTTGCCAAGGCATGAAAGCACAGGCAACAGTCTACTGAAAATATGAAAAAGACGTATGTCCAGACCCACACTTCACCTGGTTCCCCTGATAGAATGAGGTTCTTTGGCCCTCGTCCTGGCTGTTTGCATTTGCATCTTTATAGATTATGAGGAGATATAGATCCTTCCGTCTCTCACAAAGCTGTCCAATTCTCGTCACTACTTAGAATGGTTTTACTTTATGGGCTGCCTCATTTATGCAAGCATAATTTTCTCTCATAAGATCTAAATGAGAACACATCTTCCCTCCCTACCCCCAGGGAATAATCCAAAAGATGGGAGGTTCTTAATAGAACAATTAATTGTGATAAATTTCTGATTTTTGCTCCTTCGTCCAGGGCTATTTCCATGGCAACATCCTCTCATCCTATTGTTGGGTTGTTCTTCATTCACACAGCAGGTTAAGCCCAGGGCAACCAGGGCAGGCTGATGGTCAGCTTTTATTTTCTCTGGCCCTTCAGCAAAGGTTAGTTGAGGTCACCAGAAGCCATAGGGTAATTACTTTTCCTCCTCAGGGTTAAAGGTACACAGATTGCTATTGGGACAACTGTATGGATGACCTTCAGCTTTTAATGTTCAATCTTCTTTTCTTTCATCAGAGAACGAATAAGTATAACAATCATGATGCAACTCTCATGCCTAAAATTCCAAGTAGAAAGCCAATTTTTATTGTGTAAAATTGCTACATATTAGGGTAATATACTCTTGAAATCAATTTGGAAAACCCAATGCATAAAAAGGTTTCCTATCTCTTAAATTTAAAAAAAAAAAATCCATGATAGAAAATTGCAGCTGTTCACTGGTTTTCCTGTTCAATTAGTCTGATATTCATAATTTCCCAGGCTTCAATCATTTCCTGAGGGTGCGTTAAGGCTGAGAAGAAAATGGAAGCCTTCCTGGCTACACTTGGGGGTCTATTTTTTTTTCCCTTCAAACACCAATTGTGGCCTTAGCCCCCTAAACTGACTAAGAGTACATTAGATTAAAATGAGTTTCCTCTCTTTGCTTCTCTATTCTCAGAGAAAGTCAGCCTCTAAAATAATTGGAGGAGGTGAGTGGAATCTTTCGAGATTAAAGGCTTAAAACACATTGCCCCACTCATTTGAAGAGCCACTTTCAGATTTCAGTTCTCCATTTCAATCTGGAATTTTAAAGGAATAATTGTTATGGGTTCCAAAAATGGAGCCAGACATCAGCCAGAATGCATGTGTCGTTGTTCTACCACAAGGCAAAAGACACAGCTCCCTGAACACGATGGGTTTCCTAATAGTTCATCTCAAAAAAAGATGCACAGAAGGGAGCCTGAGCCCCTTCTGCAGGGAGGGGCAAGGGCCATCTGAAAAGGACCACCTGACCCACTCTAAAGCCTTACCTAGAGGGAACCATCCCTCCGAGTCTCTTCATCTTTATCCAAGAAATTGCCTAGATGAGGGAAATGAGAGCAGACCCTCCACACCCACCCTGAAAGAGGTGGAGACATTATTTCTGCCCACTTTGTCAGACTCACCTGTGTATGGCTGGAGATCAACCAGACACTTTATTTCCCTCCAGTCCCCTGTCTCCCTCAACAGCCCTGACCCAGCTGTCTGTCCAGTGCCAATTTCACAGTCTTCATATGGAGTCATCCTTCTGCCCAGGAGCTTACTGGGAACCCTCCATATCCACACCAAGGCTGCCCCTACAGATTGCTTCATCAGCTGCTCCCTCCACCTGGCTTGAACTTCACACCCCCAGCCTCGCCCCTTTGGCCACTGTGCCTTGTTCAAGCAGCCTGTAGCCCCCTCGTGTGTGATTTCCCCCTCCATGAGCTTATGCCATCCCCTCTAAATGGCAATTTTCTCTTTCAATACCTGCTTCTTCGAAAGGTTGGTTTACAATCCAGTTCCTTCAGAAATTCCTCCATTTTTATCCTCTGCTATATCTAAATTAAATAAATACATGTAATAAATATACATATGTCATATACCTGTTACATATAACATATATACATATATACACTGAAGCTATAGAAAATGCATCTAAGTATCTGAATCCTATTAAATAGCAACTTTAAAGAAAAAACCCAATACCTTAAGTTATTCCCATTTACAAATTCTGGGGCCTCTTACAACACTACTCTTTTACATATTTTACATACAAGAATAACTTAGTATTCATTTTGGTAATTTTTTTTTCACTTTATTTTTTATTGTCCTTTCTACAGCTCTGCAAAGTCCTCTGTGAGCAAAATATTTTGGCATCATTGTATCATAATATTCCCAAATTGTCTCCTTTTTGTTCTCAATGACCATCTATTAGTATCTGCTGAATTATTAAGTCATGTTTAAGGAAGATAACAGAAAATAAAATATGATCACATGCAGCTATATTTCATATTATAAGTGATTTCTGAAGTCTTCAAGACTCATAGAGTACAATTACAGATGTGGATGGTAGGTGATGGAGATATTTGGAAAAGGAGATCAGAAACTGAAGGAGGCATACGTCAGGGTCTGGCATGTGACCTGGCTGCATATTACCAGGTGAAGAGAGGAAGATCTAGCAATGCCCACAGCTGGTTGGCAGCAATGGCCCACTGGTAAAAGAAATTGCCGTTTCCTCAATCACAGACCAAAGTCAAAGGGACCAACTGTGTCTCTGCTCAGGGTTCTCTGACCAGGGGCATTTGATGAAGGCAGGGCTGTCAACTCTAAAAGTTGGCTCTGGTCTGGTTAGCTGGAGCTTCACAAAGTATTAGAAAGAGTGATGGATTCACACAAGGTAAACCTTAAGAAAGTTATTATTTTCCTTTCTGCAAAGCTTCCCCCCTTTCCAATCTCCACCCCAATATCCCCACATGCTCCAGTTCTCCAGAGTCCCATCTCACAATGGGATTTTAATGTCAATAGGCCATATTTCCCCAGATCTGCTAGGAAAGATGCCTGGATGAAGCATTTAGCCATAAGTAATGCATCTCTAACAATGGCATTTCAGGCATTTTAATGACAGAGATATCTAGAAGTAATTATTAACATTACATTTGTGCAAAAGTAATTGCTGTTTTTGCCATTAAAAGCAATGGCAAAAATCATCTTCCTGTATTCTGCCAGATCACTCTATGAGTGCTCTTTGAGTCATCAACAAATTAAAAGCATAGTACCTGGGACGTATTAGGTCAAAGCATCTGGCAACACAACAGGTTGTATATTTTCACTCATTTCAAAGGGGACACAAACATTCTTCCTCTTTAGGCAAGAGATTCGACCACTTGCCCTTGGCTGCTTCTGTTTTTTAAAGCTCCTTTATTTTCCCTTGATATCCAGAGACATTGAGTTCTGTGTCCACAGTAAGCTTCTCTCTTTCCTATTTTGTAGTAAAAGTGTTACTGGAAGGTTTAACATGGAGGTATTTTCACAATTACAATTGATTCTTCCTCATACTCCAGAAATAGATGTGAGTTGTCATCCCTTCTGATCATTGTCTTCGCATACAGAATGTAAGGCTCTTTCCTAAAGAGCCTGAGAACCTTCTTTAGCAGTTGTTGAGTGGTTACAGAAAATGGTAGGGAAGTGGCATGGCCCACAGCATCAGGCCCCAGTGCCAAATAAGTGATAAGTGCTCAGTTCCTGGCATCTCTGTCCTAAAGCTTGGGCTCTTCCAGGGCTAACACAGAATGGGACTTGGGAAGAAGGCTTGTAGCACAGTGCTGCTCAAATTTTTGCATGCAGAAGAAATACAGATTTATTGACCTCACCACTAGAGATGTTGAGTCAGTAGCTGGGACTACAGGCACACGCCACCATGCCTGGCTAATTTTTAAAAATTTTTTGTCAAGACAGGGCCTCACTACTTTGCCCAAGCTGGTCTCAAACTCCTGGCCTCAAGCGATCCTCCTGCCTCGGCCTCCCAAAGTGTTAGGATTATAGGTGTGAACCACCTTACCTTGCCTTCATTTTTAAATAAAGATAATTCATCCAACCTCCACGATTGTTATGAGATATAAAAATAAAAATACATAAATTTAGCCAATGACTACTACAAAGAGTATTATTATTTGAAATATTGCTTTTTATCCAGCTGTGATCTGGAAACTCTACATTTGTTCGAAGTTAGGATGCTATGAAGGCTATTTGAGAGATGTTGTCAGTGAAAGACCAGACGTTCTCTCCTCAGTGGCCCACGTGCAAGTCAAAGGACAGATTTTACAGAGGTCCTTCTGAGAGACCCTTCCTTCTCCCTGAAGTTCCATGATTTTTTTCCCCATTGAAAACACCTGAAAGATTTTGGCATAATTTTCTTCATTTAAACATTTTTACCAAAAGCAAATTATGCTGACTGAATCAACAGAGAACACTGAGAGGAAATAGAAAGATACTGACCTGGGAGTCAGGAAACACATTCTAATGTCCTGGCCCTGCCACTGGGCAAATAAGTGCCTTGAGCAAGTCAGTTCACCTCACTAGATTTCTGTTTCCTCATGTGAAAAACAAGTCAGTCGAACTAGCTATCACGGTGCGTATGGTACTTATTACACACAGGTGCTGTTCTCAAGGCATTACACATACAAACTCAAGCTCACAACAATTCTATGAGCTAGAGAGCATTTTTCACCCCCACTTTATAAATGAGGAGACTGAGGCACACAGAGGTTAAAATAGTCTTGTTCAAAATCATGTAACTATTAAGTAGTGGAGATGAAATTTGCATCTACTGAATCTATTTCAGCATCTACACTCTTAACCACGATGGTGTGCTGCCTTTCACCAAGGGGAGTTTAGATGGTACTAAAAAGTCCCTTTCAGTGTTTACATTCTATGGATCTATGAGTTTAAAATAACCCCTAGAGTCTCAGATTCTATATTTTAGACCAGTGGAGCAAAGAGCTTATTAAAAAACCTGTAACTTATGACTCACACTACCATCTTACACCAGTACCAAAAAAAAAAAATGTTGCAAGTGCTTTCACAGACATGAGCACCTTAGATTGTAATTGGATCTTGTGTATGTAGGGAAGGTAATAGCACCATGCACAAGACCAGAAAAATGAGGCCCAGATTGGTCAGGACTTGACTATGTCACTCAGTAAAACTAGAGATGAGTCTTACTTCTCCAGTAAGATCAGAGCTGCAGGCTGGTGGTCTGGGGTCCATCCAACCTGAGTCACACATTTTTCCTAGGACTTCCTATTGGACTCAGCAGAGACTCACTAAATTTTGAGGTGTGACAGAGAAAGGAGCCTTCCCTTCTAAGGTTCTCCTCTGTTTCCCCCTAGTCTAACCTCTCACACGGACACCAAGATGTCTGGCCTGATATTAAGGAAGTCAGCTCACACAACCCTTCAAAATTCAGAAGAAAATATATGGGGGTTGCTGCAGAATGAGCTGCCCTGTCTTTCAACTCCATTTCAGGCCTTCTGAAGAGCCATCTGACCTTGCAGCCTCTGCCAGTTCTTTTCCTCCTCCTTCCTTCACTCTTACAGGTGCCTTCTGCCCTGAACTGGAAAAAAAAAAAAAAAAAAAAACTGCTCTCTCAAACATCACCTGTAACTTCCGGTTCCCAGAACCAGCTGCTTGTTCCCTGGATGCACCTGGTGCTTTCCCACCCAAGCCTCTGCTCACATACTTCCCTCCCTCTAGAACAGGCTTCCCACCATCCTACCTTCAAATCATATGCTTGTTTACAGATTTATCTCACACGTCACCTCTTCCAGGAAGTGTGTCCTACTCCTTCCAATCAGACATTATCTACGTTTTTCTTTGATCACTCACAGTACCTTTCTTGTGCCTTTCTCATGGCATGCTCAAGTTCTGCTTTTTCCTGCTGTTGGGTTTATACTTTCTTATTTCCCATCAGCTTCTTCATACCCAGACTGCTTTTTACTCCTCGGCGTGCTGAGAGCAGTGCCTGGCACTGATAAATAGTTCCTTGACCTTCAATTAATCTTCAATTAATCTTTTATTCTGTAGGATTCACTTTGTGAGAATATATAGCAAAGAAACGAGATCATTAGACTCTAGCATCTTTCCCAAATTTCACCAATTGTTGCAGGAGGTGGGGGGGGTAAATGTCTTAAATAAATTTCTGACTGACAGAGCTCATCCCAGAGGCGAGAACATCCTTTCTGTAACTGCCATGTAGCCTGTCTCCAAAGAGGTTTCCAAGTGTGAACACGTCAGCCCGAGACTCTGTTAATTGGATCTTCATCTGCTCAGGGTCCTCACTGCACAGCTGCTGTTTTACTCCAGAAGTGGCGAGCTGGGGATGAGGAAGCACAGGAGACGGCCTTAGGAAAATCCTCACTCTTCCAGAGAGCTCCATTTTCACTTCTGCTGGTCCTCACCATGGGAGAGTGTGGGATCAAGAGACCAAGGAAAGGCCAACTGATGTGTTTCATTCTTCTTTTTCCCCTTCCACTTTAACATATTAGAGGAGTGTTATTTGGAATTTCGACATTTACAAAGAGTTTAAGGTTAAATTATTCTGGTGGAAAAGAAAAATGCCAATCCTTTCCCCTAAAGACAGCAAAACTGGTTAGCATGAAAATGCTCCCAGGATGTTCAAGTCTTTTGGAGTTTCTCCTTACCAATAACTCTTCATGAACACCCCTCTGTGAAGTAGCTTGAAACAATGCAACTGGTGTCTGAGTGTTTTTCAAATAGGCATATGGACCTGGAGAACTGGAGCTAGAAGATGCCATCTATGAACCAGTGCTTTAGAGATTAGGCTTGGTGGAGAAGACAGCTGGGTTGCCCAAGCCTCCCTCATTGCCTGCAACAAGGCAAACACGGGCACCTTTGGGACTTAGACGTGATCTGCCAGCACAAGGGTGTCCATTGTTCACTTGGCCAAATCGGGGGCTTTGGAATGGTTAAGAAAAAAAGCAAAGCGGCCCTCCTTCTCCATCACACAGCAGTATACATCAACTTTTTAAAAATTACATCCCCCCTGCCTTGGAGTCTTTTTAGCCTTTTTTCTAATTGCTCCCCCTTGACGTTGTAATGCCACAGATACATTGTTTATATATCTGTTTATGTACTGTGACCCTTTGAAAGGCCACAAGCCATTGTCATGACTCAGATTTTTTTGCTCCTCAAACACTGATATTTGTACCCCTTCCCTACTCAGAGGTGGGCGGGGGGGGCGATATCCCTTCATGAAGAATGCATGTTGCAGGCCCACCCAGAGGGTTGACAGGACACTTCCTGACCACCACCCAGGGTTTCTTTTCATCTTTTCTCTCACTCCCCTTCAGATTTGGTAGGAGCCTGTACCTTGTAGAGCACAGAGCTAGAAGGCCCAGGTTGAGCAGGTGGCTACTCTATGGAATGTCATGGCAACATGAGAGGATCAGGGCAGAGAGACTGACAATAGTCTCAGAGAAATGGTGTGTTTCATGCAGTGAAATATTAGGTTTCACAGTAGTAAATGTTGAGCTAATAATTATTATAAGACATGGATTTAATGGGTAAAATTTTCAGCAATAAACGTATCCAAAGAATAGCATTACAAGAGTTCAGAAATTAGATATTCCATTGCCCCTTTTACCAGCAAAAGGGTATGATATTGGATTTTTCCTTCAATATAATTCGCTTTTCCAATATTATAATTAACTTGACAAATAGACCTCAACTTCTACACCTTCCCTTTTGCCTGAACACTTTATAGGCACAACATAATGATTCTAGTTATTAGCTCACTTTAGGCTAAAAATAAGAGGACTAACAATACATTAACATTTCCATTATCAATCAGAAAATGGTAGGTCAGCTCCTTGAATGATATGTTGCTCAGCACATTAAATCCTTGAACTCAGCAAAAATATATAAATACTTTTGCTCCTGAAGTTATGGTTTAAGAGAGTCATGTGGCAACATAAATTGGAAATGAGGAGGACAATCAATTTGGATTGGTCTAAATGGAAGAATAATGGATTGCTAATTTTTTTTCCTTTATTTAGTATAGAAACTGAGCGCCCATGCTATCAGTTTGGTATCAAAGAGGAAGCAATGAGTAACCAATCAAAAACAAACTTCTACTTGCTTTTGTGCTGGTACCATCTGCTATACACATATCACCTTGTGACAGGGCCAATGGACATCTACCAACTGATACCATTAAAACAGAGTGAAGAACAAAGTATTCTCCTTTCACTTGGGCACCAGAGGACCTGGTTTTTCTGCTTAAAGCTAGTGCCAATGCTGTGTTTCAGTCACTGCAGATTCCACAGATTTATCATCAATCTCCTCCCACACATTCATTACTGCCAACATTTTGAAACTTCAATAGTGCCTCCATAACACTAGCTTAATAGTGTCTGTAACTGGAGAAAGAATCTAAGAACTGCAGGCTAGATCCAATCATGCCCATTTGTCTCCGGCTGTTTTCCCTACAAGGGTAGTGCTGAGTAGTTGCAACAAAAACTGGCTTTTTGAATTGCCAAAATGAAAAATAATTACTGTCTGGCTCTTTACAGAAAAAGTTTTCTGACTTTGGTAACATGGATTTAAAAAATAAATAAATAAAAAGAAAAAACAAAAAAATCCTTTTCTTCTACAGTTTTCAGAGTTTTCTTAGATAGAATTGAGAGTTTAATATTATTTTTAGAGCAAAATAATATATACTTGTTTTTCTACTCCTAGGAATGAAATTTGGAAATATAAACTCAGAAACGTAGTAAAAGCATTATTGATAATGACATGGATTTTATATTGGCCATCTGCTATTTTTATTAAAAAGTAATATTAAATTTTCTCTTCAAACAATAACTATGGATGTTCATTATAGAAGAGGCTGGCATTTCTCCAAAGCACAGTTTTCTTAAGTAAGGAAGCATATTCAAGAAATGGACGTAGGCCGGGCGCGGTGGCTTACACCTGTAATCCCAGCAATTTGGGAGGCTGAGGTGGGTGGATCACGAGGTCAGGAGATCGAGACCATCCTGGCTAACACGGTGAAACCCCATCTCTAATAAAAATACAAAAAAAATTAGCCGGGCATGGTGGCAGGCGCCTGTAGTCCCAGCTACTCGGGAGGCTGAGGCAGGAGAATGGCGTGAACCCGGGAGGCAGAGCTTGCAGTGAGCCGAGATCGCGCCACTGCACTCCAGCCTGGGCGACAAGAGCGAGACTCTGTCAAAAAAAAGAAAAGGAAAGAAAAGAAAGAAATGGATGTAAAATAGAATTTTCATACATGAATATAAATTAAACACTAATATCTCAAATGACCTCTTAAAGAATAGTAAGGCAAAAAATGTAATTAGTGCTATATGGTGCCTGAATGTGATATTAGTTAAGGAGAACCAGAAATCAGAGAACATGAATATGGCAATTAGTGATTGCTCTCACCCATATGATAGTATGTTTATATATAAATTTTTAAAATATATCTGGCCAGGCGCTGTGGCTCACGCCCATAATCCCAGCACTTTGGGAGGCCAAGGCGGGTGGATTGCTTGAGGCCAGGAGTTTGAGACCAGCCTGGCCAACATGGCAAAACCCTGTCTCTACTAAAAACACAAAAATTAGCCATGCCAAGGTGGCACGTGCCGGTAATCCCAACTACTCGGGAGGCTGAGGCACGAGAATCGCTTGAATCCAGGAGGCAGGGATTGCAGTGAGCCATGATCATGCCATGTACTCTGGCCTGGGCAACAGAGTGAGACTCTGCCTCAAAACAAACTAAATTTTAAAAACGCATCAACATATCCAATCTACTAATATTTATTAAATATCTACTATCAAATATAATAATGATATTAAATATAAGTAAGTATATAAAATTTCTACTATACAGTACTGAGAAATAAAGCTGTAAAACGCATAGCCCCTGCTGTCAGAGAACTTAAAATCTATTAGGTATACTAAGATTTGCAAACAGACTCCTTAAATTCTGCTTTACATAAATTTTTAAATTTCAATACATTATTGAACATATAGAAGTAAGAAAACCTTCATGCTCGATTTAGACAATTATTTGATTATTATAACTCAAACAGCATGAAAAAAGCCGACTGCATGCACCTCCCAAAAAAATTACCTTCCCTTCCCAGGTATCGCAGTGACTGAAATTCTACTGAATTTTAGGAAGTCATCCCTTTAGGTTAAACATTTCCCCAATTTCCTTCCAATACCAATGGGTCATTATTTAGATTTTCCTAGGCATATTTAACTGCTGGTATTTTAAATATAAGAATCACTTAAATAAATTACTATAATAGATTACTTTTATTTTTCTAGTAATTTTAGACCAGGCTGCCCAACATGAAGAAATGTCTTTACTAAAAGTATAAAATTATCTGGGCATTGTGGCGCATGCCTGTAATCCCAGATAGTCAGGAGGGTGAGGCAGGAGGATCGCTTGAACCGGGGAGACAGAGGGTGCGGTAAGCCAAGATCACGTCATTGCACTCCAGCCTGGGCAACAAGAGCGAAACTCCATCTCAAAAACAAACAAAAAAAAAGAATTACCCCAAGATGATTTAACATGTTGTCATATCATTTATCTGTTAGATCACTTTCCACCATGGGAAATAGTACCCCTTCCCCATGAAGCATGAGGAATTTGGTGTGAAGGATCACTGATTGGGGACCATTAAACAAAGAAGGTTGAAATCCCACAAGATAAGCTTAAACCCCTCACAATCTATCAAGACTGGGCATGTGTAAGGAGTTAATGTTTCCAAGAAAATCGAGAGTCAACAACAGAGAGAAGGTGGTCTTCTCAGTTACAGCCACACTCCTAAAAATCAATCACAGTCAATAGTCACATCGAAGTAAGATGATGGTGATAAAGGGAAAGAGGAAAAAGAGATAGATACTTCCCATAAATTCTGCGTTATTGATGACTGACCACACAGAGGCTAATGTTCACAATAAGAATGAGCATTTATAAATTCATGTGTTAAAGCCCCGTTACATTCTAATGCAAAAATAACCCTTTGTTAACTTGAGATTTTTATGTCTTGATCATAGGGAAAGCCACATGCAATTATTTACTTTCTATTTTGTTTGCTGTATTTATGCATAGTTGACCTAATACATGTCATAATACATAAATATCTTGCTGTGATTGCTTTTCCTTTCTGTCTTTCTTTGTGTGTGTTTGTGTTTAGTTCTGTGAAATTTGGTCACATGTAAAGATTCATGTACCTATCATGTAGCTATCACAATCAAGATACAGAACTGACCCATCACTACAAATAATTACCCGTTTACCCCTTTATAGTCACGCCATGTCCCTAACACCTGACAACCACTGATCTTGTCTCCATTTCTATAATTTTGTCATTTTGAGAATGTTCTATAAATGGAATCAAGAAGTATGTAAAATGGAATCATACAGCATGTATCTTTTGAAGATTCATGTATTTTTTGAATACATATGGCTCATATACATACAATAACATACATATGTTTAATTGGTATATTCTTGCCTCAAATTTTATAAAAATGTTTGAAGTTCAATTTGATCCAATCTATAAGACATTAGAGACAGCCCCGGGGGTAAGTTTGCCAGAATGCAAACTGAAGGGTGAATCATTTCATGATGACAGCATAGCTCTGTGTGTTTAAAAGGACTCAATAGCTCTTAGGGCTGAATTCCATCTTGAAGCTCAAAAGTAGTTAATATTAGAGTATTTTGGAGCAAATCTCTGCAGCTTCAAACTGTCTTTGGGAGGTGTCACTGTAGAGCATGCACAACGGGAAGAAAGGCAGCTTTGCTCTCCAGCTGCCACGTCCACCTTGCCTTCACTCTGGTTCTCTAGCAACAGAGAAACCAAAGGAGGGATTTTGCTAGACAAGATGAAGTTAAAGAGTTAATGACTCCTATCCACACCATAAATTAACCTGTATTTTTAAAAATCTGAAGGAAGAGGTGTTCCAGAGGACTAATGAACACGTATGTCTAAAAATAACTCGTTTAATTAACAGCACACTTCACAGTCCCTCTAATTAAAACTGCTGGCCAGACTGAGGATAATCATCCACATCTTTCACAGGCATCATAAAGTTCAATGAAATCATTTGAGCTTTATGGGGAAATAACATGTAGGCTACTGTGGAGAAGGGTATCAGAGGGGGATATTAACTTCATTTAAGCAAGGAAGAAGCAGTAGACAGGAAGCCAAGCTGTGCAAAAGGTCAGGTGAGAAAGGGAGGGACCAAGGACAGAACCAGAGTGGCAAAAAGCTGATCTCCAGTTCCAAGTAATTTCTACAGTTAATCTATGAAGTGAGGAGGTCCCCCCACCCCCCACCCACAACAGAGAGTAACCACCTCTGCCTTTGGTAGGCTAAGCCTGGAAGAAGAGTAGTCAGCTATCTGAAATGGAAGGATTTCAGGACCTTACTCTAAATAACAACAGCCAACATATACTGAGTACTTATTTTGTGCCAGGAATTGCTAACACTTATTATTTTATGTATTACCATAAACCATCTTACAGATGACAAAACTAATGCTTATAAAAGTTTAGTTACGGCGGGGTGCGATGGCTCACGCCCATAATCCCAGCACTTTGGGAGGCCGAGGCGGGCAGATCACATGAGGCCAGGAGTTTGAGATCAGCCTGGCCAACATGGGGAAACCCTGTCTCTACTAAAAATACAAAAATCAGCAAGACATGGTGGTGCACGTTTTTAATCTCAGCTACTTAGGAGGCTGAGGCATGAGATTCACCTGAACCTGGGAGGCGGAGGTTGTAGTGAGCCAAGATCATGTCACTGCACTCCAGCCTGGGCGACAGAGTGAGACCCTGGCTCAAAAAAAAAAAAAGTTAAGTTACCTGCCCAAGGCCCCAGAGCAAGTCAGCAGAGACGCCAAAAAAACAGACCTAGGCAGACTGAGACACCACGCTGCCTCACTGAACAGGGACAAAACCTACTTCACAGGACCGCTGTGACAGCTCAAGAGAACCTGACACCTGCTAGGTGCTTAGGATATATTCCCCAATAATCTACCCCAATGGCCTGCATCAGACCTAATGAAATCTACCAGTGAAATCTCTTCTCTTTGGGTAAGGCTTCGTGTCTCTAAGAGTACTCTGAAAAATAAACAAGCCAACAAAAATACAGGCAGAACATTTTATATGCATATAATATTCCTGAAAACTTTATCAGATTTGAAGATGGAAAAATGGAACGATAGGCTGATACATTCTAAGAGCAGTTCCATTCTGAGAAAGCTAAAATGTTAGAAAATACACTTCCTCTTATGGACCTGGCCTTTGATGATTTGTTTCCTGCATTTGACACATACTCTTTAAGTTTCCAGCTTAAATCCCAGTGAATGACTGAACGAGACTAGCAAATATTGCATTGAGTGACATCAAACTTTATAACACTGGTATTAGCACCTTTCTCACCTCCATTCATTTTTATAACATTTGAAGTAGAAAAAGCAAAAGTCAGATACAGATTCAAACATTACCCAAATACTGACATACGAAAAGATAGTAATACTCCCATGTCTACACTGGCAAACAGTACTACTGTGAGTTGGCTTGAAATGTCTGTTCGTCGCCTTAACCCAGCATGAAAAAGGCAGTTAATGTACGCTAATGCTTAATATATGGGGAATGTGAGAAAGTCACAGGCTACATTAAGCCACTCCACCAATTACTACCTTTTGGGATTTAAATTTGTTAGGTCACAAAAGTAAATGATTATAGGGTCCAGACAGGAATGCAAATAATATGGCAGCCTGGTACAAGGCGTGATGGGTGAGGATTATGGTGAACTGGAGCAGCACATGCCCGTCTGGAGAGGACAGCTGCTATTCAGCTAGTGGCTGCCATTAGGAAAGGTAGGGCGCAAAGACACACACCATTTCTCAGTGTGTGTGTGTATGAAATTTCCTGATGTTTAAAACTAAGTAACTAATAATTTTTTTAAAAAAATTAAACATTGTGCCAGTCAAAGAAAATACTTCTGAGGTTGGATGCAACCTGCAGACCAGGAATCTATACGCTCTGGGTACAAGGCAGCAAAGGGTAAATTTTGATTGGCTGAAAAGAAAGTAAAGGGTCCAGGGAGTGGGAGCCTGAATAGGCAGAGTGGGCAGTGCCAGAGACACAAGTGCGAATGCGAGGATCTCCTCACTCAGTGTCTCCAAAGAGGGGCAGAGAAGGTGAAAGAAATAGAAGGTGAAGAGACAAAGGAAAGGGGCTTTGCTTTCTTCACATTGTGTAAAGTGTTAGCAACGGCTTGGGATGTGTAAAGGAAAACACAGAGCAAAAAGGCCTGAGATGTGCGTGAGCGTGTTCAATATTGTGAGACACAAGTCAAATGAGTGTGAGTAAGCACTCACTTTCACCACCCTTGGGTGGTGAGCTGACAACAACCACAGTGGTCGATGCTTCTAGACGTCATGGGCTGTGTGGTTTACAGGGATGATCACACATTTAATCTTGACAACAAAATCAAATAGTCATACTGTCCCCACTTTTCAGATAAATAAACTGAGTGTTAGAGACATTAAGTATCTTGCCCAAGGTCATAAAACCGGTAGGTAGCAGAGGAGGCATTTAACGCTGGACTATCTGACTCAGTGCTGAGTTCTTAACCAGTGTCCACTGCTGTGTCTCTGCTGGGCTTGATATGGGGCCACAAGTCCGAAAAATGAAGTCCTTCTGAAATGTCATGGGTGCTCAACCTCCAGGAGTTTCAAACTCTAGAGAGAGCTAAGGAAGCTCATGTTCTCCTTTTGCTGACAATGGCCTTCTATTGGTGGCAGAGTAAGGTGGTGGTGAGAACGGTGGACCAACATTCGTGTTCCATTAGCCTCCACTTCATTTTCCGTGCTGCATGTTAGCCAAGTCACCAAAGCTCTCTCTGAAGCTCTCCAGGATTCAGTTCCTCGGCTGTACAATGAGGACAATACTGCTTCAGCTGCCAAAGAAAGGAAGCCCCAAGAGGATTTCTCAAAGCCCCTCCTAGCACATTTGTTTTCAAAAAATGTTTTCTATGCAATGCCAGCATTGCTAGATTCCTTCAGCATTTTTCTCTTATTCTTGAATGTCCCAGAGAGTTCACCGCAGTGTTCCCAATTCTCAGGCTCATGATCAAGAGCCCCTAACCCAGTCTGTACACACCTCTAAATATGTGGGTTTTAGCTTTTCCCTCTTTTAGCCAGAGGGATGGTAGAAAGTTTTACAGAGAAAATAAAATCCCAAGGTCCATGCCCTAAAGATGAAGGCTAAAAATAAAGACACATATGGAAAATTGGTTTTTAAAAGTTCCTTTCAAAATTTTTTGCTATCACACTAACCAACAGCAAAATATTCACTTTGCCACACAATGTTTGATGTAAGGGAATGAGATTTTCAGAGAAAATCACTCTTAAACCTTCACAACTAGACTTCGGTGGTAACCGAGAATAGTGACAAACCTGAGTAAACCCCAAAATAGGAGAATTCTGATAAATGTATGTTGATGGCAATTAGGATAACTAACTCTATAGTTTAATTAATATTAATATATTGTGTTGTATTTAAGCTTGAGTTGAGTGAAAGGGGTTGAAGGGAATTGCACAAACCACTCTGAGTGCCTCATGCCAGCCCCATACGTGAAATGACTCAGGCTCACCTACCCTGCTTTGCATTTCGGAGACTTCCATCCTGCAGGCACCTTTCTTCTACATATGGTTGTAATACGCAGACGTGCTGCTGAGTTTAGGAATGCATTACCCTGATTCCTGCTCTTCAAAATTCTGAGACATCTGGTATATTCAACAACATCAGCAGTTTTGGGGAGCCAGATGTATTCAGCACTGCAATTTTAAAAGTGGCTTTAAGGAGCAGAGCCTCCCTTTGAGCCTCCATTCTCCTAAGCCTGACAGATGCTGAGCTGCAGATGCTCATTCACAAAAGCCCACACGTGCATCTCCACCTGAAGGATGCTCTGAAGGCAGAGCCAACTCACCTCCAAAACTAGACTTACCATTTATCCAACCAAAACTACTTCCCATTCTTTATCTTAGTTATCACCAGCCCTAGCCAACCACTGGCCCAATCTATAAACCTGTGAGTCATGTTCAAAGTCCCCCATCTCCCTCAATCCTCACATCCACCTACTTGTCAATTCTAGGCCAGAAAGCCCCCACCTGCCAGCGCATCAACAATGAACTGGCCTAGACTCTGAGCGCTTCAGAGGAAAAAGGGAGGCGCAAAGGGCCTGCTCCTCACTCAGCCACATCTAAACAGCCCAACCGAGGGCAGTAAGGTGCAAGGACAAGAAACTACAGGGGAGAGCATATAACGGGAAGTATGCCACTTCGAGTGAAGGTATCTCTAGCCTCTCTGAGGGCCATGGCACTGTAAGACCAGGCTGAGCATAAGCCTAATACCCATCCACCAGGGAGCCCAAGCACATGATGAGAATGTCTGTCAGCCAGAGAGGAAAAAACCTATCCCACAATAGGACCAAACCACAACCTGCAGACTCCCAAAACAGAAGAAAGAGAAATGGTGAGCTGTTCTAATGGCAAAAGGAGACATTGACAAAATGTAAAAATAACAAGGAGAATAATACTCATAACTTAATTCCTGCCCACAAACAGCATCTGAATCTATGTGACAATGCTACCCATGACTCATCCCTACAAGTCAAAGTTGGTGCCAAATGGGCAAAAGAAAAAAAAATGGCATTTGATGGGAAAGATGCTTGCAACACAATTAATTTTGCGTAAAGAATGTATAATTTTCCAAGGATTTGACCTAAAGCATTAAGCCAGACCGTATATTGTTCCAATCAATTAGGCCTTCCTGCATCAGCACTTTTGCCTTGCAAGCAACTGAGGCCATCATGCTCTCTAATCGGGAGGAAAAAAATCATACTGATTCATTTATAACCGTTTGTGTTTATTATTTTTCTAGGGAAAAAACAGAATAACTCTAAAACAGATTTGAAGGTCTCTGCAGCTGAAAAAGATGTTGTCATAAAATTATACCCATTTGAAAGGAGAAATAGCTGGATGCTACTTAGTGTTTGTCTTGGGGCTTTTTACCATTTTGAGATTTTAAAATGTGAATTTTCCTATATGAGAAATGCCATTCAGAATTATCCAAGTCAAAAATGGAGTCTTCAATACTGTTCTACTATCTTAGATTTATCAAAATTACAGAAGTGTATATAGTATAGCTAGAATGAGCTTGGATATAATATGTTCCATCCTTTACAATCTCCCTATGGAAATGTAGCAACTTCTGTGATAGGATCTTTATAAATAATGATAATATTATTAATTGACTATTTATTGAATGCTTAGTTTGTGGCAGGCACCATGCAAAGCTCCTTATATATTTTATCTCATCCAGTCATCACCAAATCCTATGATATCGTCACAATTACTAACCCAGTTTCACGGATGATAAGACTAAGGCTACCAATTAATGCATTTTCTATTGACTGCCTCAGTGGATGTAAAAGTATAAGGGCACTGAAATAAAGACCCCAGTACAAAATCTTTAGAGAATTGCCTTAGTCCTATACCCAAAAGGAATAACAACTTACAAGTTTCCATCTCTTAAGCCTGCAGAAAATCTCTCTATTTTTAAAAAAGCTGGCCGGGCACGGTGGCTCACACCTGTAATCCCATCACTTTGGGAGGCCGAGGCGGGCAGATCACGAGGTCAGGAGATCAAGACCATTCTGGCTAACACAGTGAAACCCCATCTCTACCAAAAAATACAAAAAAAAATTAGCTGGGCATGGCGGCGGGCGTCTGTGGTCCCAGGTACTCGGGAGGCTGAGGCAGGAGAATGGCATGAACACGGGAGGTGGAGCTTGCAGTGAGCCAAGATCGTGCCACTGCACTCCAGCCTGGGCGACAGAGCGAAACTCCGTCTTAAAAAAAAAAAAAAAAAATTGCATCCAAATACTTTCCTAAGAAAATTATAATTCAGCATCTTATTCAGTGTTTAAGTTACTTCATTACGTATTAGACTCTCCAGAATGTAAAAATACAAATTTGACTGTTTGTTTAATGTGGAGTGTCAATTATACTAGATATTTTGTGAGTTTAATTTATTTTTCACAAGATAATCATGAGATGCTTAGTATCTTTCATATTCCATGGGTATAAACCCAGAACAAAGAGACAGACAGCTGATAAGGGTTGAGACTGGGATTTAGACGCAGGTCGTCTAATTCCTAAAGGAGGGTAAGCGACTAGGAGTCCAGTTAATTGGCTTGCAACTGTGGAAAAAATATTCTGTGACAAAAATACATTGAAACAAAGAGCCAAAGGGTAGATAGTTTATTGAAGGCTTTTAACTATTTGTTTGATTCCTGGATCCAGATGACAACACATAGTATATTGTCATGGTCCCACATTTCTTTTGAAAATTTCAACATGGACCACATGAGAAGTAAATCCCTATAACTGGAAACCCAGTGCTCTTGCCTTCTGCAACATGGAGTCATCTGCTCCTTGTTTCCATCCAAATCAGCATCAGGAGCCATAGAAAATGGGCCTCACATTTAAAGCAAAGAAAAAGAGAAGTGGGAAATCACACAAATGGGAACACTCACAATTCCGTTCACCGTTTTTTAATCTGTGATTGTGCCCAACACTATTATCGTGGATTTATAATTCAACCAATGAAGTCAGTAATGCTGGATGACTTACATTCTTGACAACTTGTGGCAACTGAATTCAGCATTCTGCACTTCTAATAGCAGTAGCAGCAAATACTCAGAAATGTATGGCATGAATGTATTCACTAGTATCTTCTCATTCTGAATCCCCTGAATTGCTCTCCCAGTTTCAAAAAGTGTCCCTGAACCCTAAATAATAGGTGAACCATGCAATGTAAATCAATAGATTTTTCACGTGCAATAATTGTTTCTCTCTGGGAGATTCCCATTAGTCCCAGAAGGAAAAATATTCTGATTGACCTCAAGGAACACAGCAGATGTGGATAAGCTGTGTGTGCTTCTGACCTTATCAGAAGAAAACCAGGCCTTGAAAATCACAGGGGAACACCCTGGACATGTGCATATTGGCTGTGGGAAACCAAATGGCTGGTCAAGTGTGTGTTCTGCTTCAAAACCAACCAAACCAATACACGCAGACTGTGCAAGGGAAAGGAGAAAAAATGATGTGTGAATTAACAACATTTCTTTATGTTTAAAACAGTCTCATGAAATAATAATATCAAGGGAAAAAATGGTATGTTGTGAGCATCTGGGAATCTTTGACCCATTAGTAAAAAGATTTTCTACATAAACTTCTGGAAACCGAGTTGCTTAAGCCCCTGAGTACGGAGGAGAAGTTTACTCTGTTACCTTTGAATGCCATGTTTCCTGCTCTGCTTGGGGGTTATATGGCCAAATAAGATCACAAGAAGAGGGTGAAAAATCAGCAAAATGTATTTTTCATGGAGAGTTCCAACCCAGGGGAATAGGTTAAAATACTTGAGAGAGAGAAGGAAGAAAGGGAGAAAGAATTTAGGGGATATTCGGAGAAGTCTTTACTTTGAAATGGGAGGAGTTCTTAGTTCCACTAAAATCACTTTCTAGTACCAATAAGGCCAGATCAGCCTGGGGTGGGAGCAATTCCTTGTCCCCTGCCAAGAACTAGAAGAAGTAGAGCACATTGCTAGTATAAAGGAATCTCAGGCCACTGCTCCATGACATTTCTGAGAAAGCAGCACACTACTGGGCAAAGCACAGTGAGGAGAGTTTGTGAGGTAAGTTTTTACAATCTGAGGTTTAAATTACACCTATTATGCATCAAAACCAGTGCACTATTGGACAAATGGAACAGATGCAGGAAACAAAAGATAAGCCTCGATTCATATGCCAGGAGAGGACTTAGAAGAAATCCAGGATGCCACCTAAAAACCCACAGCAGGTGTGGCCTAGGGGGAAATTTTAATCATCAATGCTCCTCTTATAAACTTCTCATAAGTTGGTTAAAGGCCTAGAATAATTTTCATTTATTCATTTATTCAACTAGTATTTAAGTCAAGCCTCCTATGTGCTGAGTCAGTGTAGCTAAATCTTTGTGTACAAAGTGGAGAGTGGATAGATGGGCTGGACTGATAGACAGGAGCTAGTCTGGGGTGGAAGCCTGATGGCTGGGGAGCCAAATTTGGCAGAAAGGAGAATTTTGCTGACCAGCATAGTGTTTATTACAACTTTGATCTTCAATGCCTCCAAACAAGTCATGCACATTTTTCCAGCAAGCATAGGGCATACTATTCTGAATTCCCTTACACTGAGGCAGGTTAACAAATTTATGTTATCTGGCTGGCCTCTGGCATCATAAGCATTTGTGTTTATGATCCCTGAGCCAGGTCACGGCCAAGGGAAATACTACCTTCCCTTACAGGTCTATTGCAAACACATGAGGATGCTTTGAGTCATTCAATAACTGGCAGGTACTACTGGAAGTTGTGACCCAGAACCAAGGAAGCTCAACATCCTGCAATGTCTGGGAAAGCTCCTCACAGGGAAGATTTGCCTGTCCCCCAAATACTTAAAGCACCTCCTTTGAGAAACACTGGGCCAAGTAATGTCATGGTACAAAACGTGCACTTTAAATCTTAATATTTATTGTCTGGTTGATAATACTAGTCAGTATTATCAATTCAAGTAGAGTCCTACTTGAATTATTAACATTTCTAAATTATGAACAAGAGAACACAGATTACAAAAAGAATTCAGAAGAGAATCTTGATTTGTAATTGATGCTGAGAAAGAGACAACATGTTTTGCTATATTTTAAAAGAGGGCGGTATTTTCTTCCTTGAAATAGTAGCAGTATCTGGCTTCAAAATAGAGAGTCTCTGTAAAAACAAGATGTTCCTTCCACTGCGATTTCATACAAGCACCTAATTAGAGAAACCGTAGGGAGAGCTAACCAAAACCACCTTAAAGGGGTTTAACTTTTAAATGTGAAATTTCTGTATTACCTTCCTTTGGATGGTAGGAAATGCTATTGGGATGTGAGGGGCTGCTTACTGCACACATCAAGAACCAGAACTATGTCATGGAAATGTTTCTGGTTGGCCTCGCAGGACACAGACCACAATGGGGTGGTTCAGCGCCACCCATGTCGACACACTCACTCTTTCTTTCTATGTTCTCTATCCTGGTGTAATGTCCAGGAAAAGAAATTATAATGCTATAGGCAACTTCAAAGACTGTGTAGAAAAGGACAGAGGACGTGTTTCCTGGGATCCAAAGCCAATTTGCTGGTACTTTATAGGCTTTCTGACTCCACAGATATTGACAAGGGAAGGCCTGCTCCCCCAAGGATGATCCTGGGAAATTACTACCCAGGAGTGCACCCCGGGTGAAATGCATAACGGCAGATGATAATTCTGTGGTCAAACCATTACTTCGGTGTTTAAGCAGATCAAATCGATGAGAAAATGAGCCAGAGATGGGTCTTCACATAATAATAATCGTTAAAGAGGAGCAAGGGGGCATTCTTCCATTGCAAAAGAGGAAGGTTCCTGTTAGGTTTTCTGACGAAAGCATAAAACCTTAATTGCTATTTCTCCTGCCCCTGCTTTCCTTACTGTCAACCTTCTTGAAAACTGAGCCCACTCTTGATGCCCCCATTCCCTTATTCCCACTCTCATCAGTCAGGCTGGTAAGAAGATTCTCCCACCACATTCACTAGGGAGCCATCCTCCAACCCAACAGCCTCTTCCATTCTCACTGTCCCTACTGCGTTTTCTCAAATTCATTCATTCATTCACTGAATTTTTATTAAGAAACCACTGCATGCACCATTACTCCAGACCTGAGTGGAAATGGCAGTGAGCAAAAGTCCCTGCTCTCCTGGACCTTAGAGTCTAATGTGGCAGAGGGGAGATAGGCAGATAATAAGTGAGGGGAAGAAAATGAGTTGGATCATTTCAACTAGCAAAAAAATGCTACAAAGAAAATCAAATAGGCACAGTAACCAGGAAGCAGACTATGAAGGAAAAAGGAGACTGTCTACTGGGGACAGACCACCTGGGTTCATTTCCTTACTCTGACAGTAATTAGCTGTAGGTGATTGCATCACCTCCTTGTGCCTCAATTCCCTTGTCTGTGAAAGAAAGGGAAATTGAAATAATAATAAAATGTACATGCCTCATAAGGTTGCTCTAAGGGTTAAATGAATTAATAAGTGCTTTCTATACGTGTATAGAACAGAGTCTGGCATTAATTAAGAGCTTCTTCTGCATCTGTTGATATGATTATATGATCTTTAAGGCCCTTTCCAATCCTGCAATTTTGTATCTCTATTGAACTGAATTTCCACTAGAGGTGAAAAATGGATCTAGGCCAGTGGAGCTACAACATACTTTATATAAAGCCATATCCTTTCTTTCTTTATCCTGTTAATGGGTCTGCTAATTAGAAAATAGTAACCTTCTCAAGCTACATTGCTATGTTAAAGTACAAACAACAACCAAAACCTGTCTCCTCTTAAGACTCAGATTTTACCAAAAAAGAAATCTCCTCTTCTGGTAAATATGAGATTCAACTGGGAGGCTTTTCACTCCTTCCTGTGTGCAATTAACAGCAAACACCTTGTCACAAACATTTTTGAAAGGTCAAAGTTGGCAACAATTTTGCTAAAGAGACAAACAGTCAAATAAAACCCTATCCTGGTAATTCCCAGGGTTCAAAGAACAGCACAACTCTGATCAATAATGAGACACACAAAAGGGATTGTGGGATAAAAGGCGGGTCTAATTTGAACTATTAAAAACTTGTGTAAGTCCTTTTTACCCCCAGCATACCATGTGTTACACAGCAGATACTGAAGCTGTAAACAGTAAATTCATACTTACGATGTTAGAAAAATAAGATTCTGATTATGAAACAAAAGGTTGTTTTCAGTTGAAGAAGTAAATAATAGTAAGAATAAGGAATTTTGCAAAAGCCAAGGTAAGAATGTTTTGCCTCTGTAATAAGTCAATTATTGAGTTCAAATTTTGAATGTATTTTAATAATATTTTTATTATTGCCTTTTACCCTTATCCTAATGCAAACCATAAGTGTTTAAAGAACACTTATTTCTAAATACATATGTTTATATCTTTAATGTGCCTTGGAAATAGCATTTTTTATATATTTGCTATCTATTGTCATTGTCTTGAGAGTAAATTTAACTTTTCATACATTGAAGAGACAGGTTTCCTTTCTAAAATTTTCATTGTATGTTTTAATTTTTTTTAATGCAGGCATTTCCAGCCCTTATGGCAGATTGTATATTCCTGGCAAAAGTATTTTATCACTTAAGTTGCATTACACATTGATTATCTATTATCTGCTCATATTAAGAAGCCTCTATCATCAGTTAATGTTTACTAAACAATCAATACAATCTAAGTGAAACAAGAATAGACTCAAATAAGTGGGCTGAAATTCAGAGAAAATTGAGACCGTGTGCACTTGGGAAGAGCAGTCTTTGTGAGAACTCATTTCTGCTTAAAAGATTTAATTTATCTGTTTTAATGCCATCAAAGTTAATAATGGATGACATGTCTTATAGCTTCAATGATGCAGCAATTTGTCAATAAAACAGAGAATTTAGAAAGCAATTCATCAATTCATGATTTTTAATTGGACCGTGGATGATTAATTTTAAGTCATTAGACTCTCCAATAATAAAACCCTAGAAAGGGAGAGTTAATTAATACAGAAGTGAGTAACTGTTTCCTGTCTCTTCAGTGAAGAACTGAGTTCCTGTTCCACCCCTATAACAAGTGGCACTTTTTAATTTAAGCACCTTTGTGTGGGATGAGGATTAGGTGTGTGGAATGGGAAGGAGTAAAGTAGAGAAAGAGAGTGGCCTATGTGTAGTGTGTGTGTGTGTGTGTGTGTGTGTGTGTGTGCGCGCGCGTGCGCATGCCTACTTCCCAAATATCTTTCTCCCAGAGACCCAGAATAAGTCCAATATACTCTAGGCAAATAGGAAAGAATACAAATTTCCCTTAAATCTTTCTCTGAAGTGGGGGGTAAAGTGGCCAAAGGATTTCCCCACTTCTCAGTCTTGCACTTACTGGTAGGGCTGCATGTTGCTCGTGTGTCTGTCTATCGATATTCCATTATCCATTGACTGTCCAAGCTGAAAGGGATCTTGATGACTATCTGGTCCACCTGACCCCCTTTTACAGCTGGGGAACCAGGAACCAGAGGTTCAGGAATACTTAGAGACCTGTCTGTAGTCACACAGTTACAGACAGCGCCAGTCATTCTTACAATTTACACACACCCAGCAATTATTCCACTCCACCGCACTTCTCTGATCTCTCCTGCCTAAGAACACAACTTCTCATGCTCACAATGGAGAAATTAATCAGTCTGCAAGTTAAAGATTCATTTTAAACAAATTGGTTCATTATTATTTAATTGAGGCGGCTTTGGAGCAATAAAAGCCTTGCTCACCAAAACTGAATAAGCAGCTCATGAAACATTGAGCTCAAGAAATGCAAAAACTGTCACGAGTCAATATGTGCTGCCTTTCTGTTTGATAAATGCCACCCAATACTTCAGAAGTATCAGAAACTAATGGTGTCCCAGCATTCCATAGGCATACATTAATGGGATCAGGAGCATAAAATATAAACAATAATGTACATATCGATTGCTCTGGACACTTGAAGCCCAACAAACATTTGAAAGGTCAGTCATTTTACTTGCATCAAATTACAGATAAGTCATTTGCTTGAAGCTGGAAACTTGCCTCTCCGTGTAAATTTATCTCATGACCTATAAACTTAATCGTGCCATACTTCTACTAGCTTCCGTAGGTTGTCTGACGTGAAAAATGTACCAGAAGTGCTTAACCCCATAAAGCATATACAAATAAACAATATGCAGAAAGGATATAGTGTAAGAGAAGTCCATTCTATAAGCTAAATAAATACAATGAAACAGCATTTTACTCTGACAGAACACGTTTCAAGATTTCTGTAAAGTCAATTACTACATGAGCTTACAAATGAATATGTATGCTTTCAGAATGTTAAAAACTACAAGTTTATGAAATGCAATGTTACAGTTATTTTTACTTTTGTTTTTTTGTGTTTTTTTTTTGTTTTTGAGACAGAGTCTCGCTCTGTCACCCAGGCTGGAGTGCAGTGGCACGATCTCGGCTCACTGCAAGCTCCGCCTCCTGGGTTCATGCCATTCTCCTGCCTCAGCCTTCCGAGTAGCTGGGACTACAGACGCCTGCCACCACGCCCGGCTAATTTCTTGTATTTTTAGTAGACACGGGGTTTCACCGTGTTAGCCAGGATGGTTTCCATCTCCTGACCTCGTGATCCGCCCTCCTTGGCCTCCCAAAGTGCTGGGATTACAGGCGTGAGCCACCATGCCCGGTCAGTTATTTTTACTTTTACCTAAAAAAAACTAAATTTGGTTTGTTCAGTTTGCACTGGAGTTTATCTTTGGGCAATTTTTTTCTCCAGAGAAAGATTTCTTTCTTTTCAGAGCCCCTCCAAAATGGAATTTAAAAGCTCATTTGAAAGTTGTCTGGATATCCATGTAGAGATGTTTCTTTGCTAACATTCAGCACCAAAGGCACCTCTCCCCTAGAGGTGGGCTTCTATCTAGCAGTCTCTCTGATGCTCCTACATATGGACAAACTGGATAAAAGGGGATAGTTCACAATCCCACAGCCCCAGTTCCTTCCCTGAAGTGATAGTGTTCCTCTTTGGAGTCAGTATCCCACTACTGAGTTTGAAAAGGGTGAGTAGGACACTGAAGGGTTGAAAGAAAAGCTTGCAATTTATGTCCCCTTTATGAGAACAGCAATTTTACCTTTCCTCTGACAATGCCTCTAACCATCCTAAGCTTGGAGAGTTCCCCCATTCACTACTGAGTAAGAATATCAGAGTAAGAACCAAGCTTGCAAAGATGTCTACCCACTAAATAGCCAAAGCAGGCAATGTCCTTCATTAAGAGGGCTTACAAAACGCTTAGTAGAATTTCCTCTGGCAGAAGGCATTCCTCTATGTGTAAGTGAATGAAAATACATCTGCCCTTAGGTTGACAGCTTTAATCCTAAGCATTTTCAGCTGTCTTGGTTGAGAGAAGGTGACCAGATATCCTTTTTCTGAATTTTGCATTATAGATCTTTTCCAACATTCTACAACAGCTTAAACTAGCCATTTTGAAAATCAGATTTCTTTACTTGTGAAGCATAATGTTTTGAAAAACACTTTTTAAACTCTTGTTCCTTTAGTTTAACAATTAGTAGCCATTGTAAAATCATATACTCGCAATTTACATTAAAAGACCATAATTGTAATAAGGAATCCAACAGAATTAAAAACCACAAAGGAAAATAATGATTTATTTGGTAGCCAAATGACCTGAAGTTAATGTTAAAAACATCATTTTATCATTTTCTAAAAAAAAAAAAAAAATCTACGGAAGAGATTATTCTACGTTATACTATACAAAGAACCTTAAATGGACTAAAATAATAAATATCATTTTAGACAAAACCTAATTATTATACTTGGTCAAAAGAGGAAGACCATTTCAAAGACAGACAGCTTGGATTATTGTTTTTCTGCAATTTAAATTTTTAAGAGCTTCAAAAAGTGGCTCAGACATTTTTTATCACAATCAAAACTCAATTTGGTCAATAATATTAATATTTTTTGAGTGAAGATAACTCAGGACCAGAATAGTGATTATGTCTTTGATAAATAAGTTTATTCCGAAACCCAGACTGTAATTTCATTTTGTGCTAAAGCTGTTAGGAAGAAGGAGTGTTCATGCTAAAGAAAGACAGAGATTTTTAATTGCAAACGCTATCTTTTTGGCATATTACAAATGCACCTTTTATTGTATTAAGTTTTAGTCACATAAGATCTGCAGGCTAAACATTCCCTGAAAAGTAGTTCTCTGTATTTCAGAAGCTATTTTCTGACTTTTAAATTTTAAACTGAGGCTTTGATGACCAATAAACAAGAGACAAAAGAATCCTTCTTCTCTTCTGCTTATAATAAGACAATACAAAAAAATGTTAAAAGCCATGTCTTTGTTATATTAAAAACTGTTCAAGCATCCTAAAATCCAAGCTTATGGTGACAATTAAGGACAGAACCACTTGTCCTATCAAGCTGAAGTAACTATATGCAGCAGCTCTATCAAGGATATCTTCAGAGCAAAAATTAAAGGACATTTATCACATTCTCTCTTTGACTATTTCCTTGAAAGCTAGGCTTTCAAAGCTAAGTCCTAACACATAAACTACTTTTCTTCTACTACTAACCTAGGATTCTTTCTTTCTTAAAATGTACCATCCACCTCTCTAGACAATAACTCCAGAGGACCTAATGATTGTGTTCCAAATCCCACTCGTGGCATTTCAGTTTTAGAATAATGAAACTAGGCTATTGATGTCACCGGAGTTTCAAAAGACTGTTCTCTGCCACAGTTCCTAAACTCAAAAGATTTCCTTTTGCCATCAGGTGTGTGGTGATGTGAAAGGGGAAATGAGAGTCCCTACTGGGATGGTGTACATCCTCACATTTGTGAGACCAACCGCCACACTCCCAGCTTTTCTTGTTCCCTGACAAGGCTTGTCCCGACCGTCTCCTGGGACGCTTTTGACGGCAATTGCAAACAACAGAAGCCAGCAGGAATATGTAAGAACAGGTGCTGGGGCCTCCTGGGTACGCCTGTGCTCAGAGAAAGGGCCTCCACAGAGCTGTGCCAAGATAGCCCACTTCCAAGTTGCCCTCTTGCCCTTCGCCATTGCAGGATTTTTGCTCCTTTTCATGCAGCAGATGTTTGGAAAGATTTGCCACAAAGCATTATGGCTTCTAAGGTGCTTCTGCCAAATTTTCTTGGTCAGCTTTTAAGGGACCTTGGTTGGAATCTCTGATAATATAAAATAAGAATGGAAAAAGTCACTCCTGGGTTTGTGTTCAGATAAGGGAAATGATAATAAAAGGCCAGTACTTTTCCATATTACTCTATTATTCCAGGTGGCTGCTTTCCACTTCCTCCCACATCTCAGGAAAAGGGACATTCCTAGGTTCAGAGGATCTCTAGCATCAAAGAGGAAACAGATCACATAATACTTCCTCCACAAACAGGTCACAATATTTGTATACTCCTGCATAATAGACACCACTTTGGGAGCATCTGGCTGACTACTATTAATCCCCATCCTTTATCCACTGATTAAAATTGCTCTGTGATTAAGGGTGCTCTGTACCATGGGGACAGTCATCCATGCAACTCAACAACCACTGATACTCAGGGTGGCTACTTCTAAAAGCATGGTCCCTGTACCAGCATCATCATCAGGATTACTTGGGAGCTTTTTAAAAATGCAACATCTCAGGCCCACCCCAAACCTATTGAAACAGAATTTAAAGAGATCCAGAATGTAACAAGATCATGTCTAAGAAGCTCTGTGCTACAGCTTCTTAGAGCAACTCAGTGCTCAGGATTCAGAGAGTGAGACAATGCCCTTCTCCAGTGCAGATTTACACTGTTTCAAGAGCACTTTGGTGCCTTCTTTAAACCTCAGACTCTCCAGGAAATATGGGCAAGAATCAATGAATCTATGTTATAGTTCATTATTAGTGGTAGCAGGACTCGAACTCAGAACTCCCAACCCTAGACTTCTGCAGTTTCTGCTACCTCAGCAAAGGAATGCAGAGGAATGGATGATTCCTCCACATCTTAACGTTGGGAAGTTTTTCCCGTTCGCATTATTATTATGGTGTAGTAAAAAGAGGGCTTCAAGTCTTGGGTCTGCCATTACTCATCCCTATGACTTTGAAAACAATCGCATCTATAAAAAAACAGATTAGAAGCCCAAAGACATTAGGCCAGACACTGTAACTCATGCCTATAATCCCAACACTTTGGGAGGCTGAGGCGGGAGAATTGCCTGAAGCGAAGAGTTTGAGACCACCCTGGTCTATATAGCCAGATCCTGTAACTACAAAATAATAATAATTTTTTAAAGGACATTTATAAAATAAGGTTAATTAAATAAAAATAGAAAAGTGGGGCCATGATTTAGCAGTAAGTAGCAAATACTACAAAAATATATAAGTTCTAATCTAATTTGTAATCTAATTTCTGAAAATGTAACCTAAAAAAACACGCCCAAAGAAGAAAATGTTATATGTACTAAAATGGCCACCAGAATATTATTTATAACAGAAAAACTGAAAGCAACCAACAAACTCTGTCATCAGGATATGGCTAATTAAATTATGGAACATTTAATCATTTAAAATGATATTTACCAAGAATTGGTAGCCACATGAAAAATTCTGGTATGATGTCAAAAGGAAAAGCAGGGTATAAAATTGTAGTACATTATGATTCCAACTATGTAAACAAAGGTACGTATCTAGAAAAAAAGAAAAATATTTGCAAAATGCATCATATTTTATCAAGATAAGTAGAATATAGGTAATTGTTTTATAAATTTTCAGTAGTTGTTAATTGTTTCTATTAGCTCCTTACAAGAAAAAATTTATGAACAGGAAATGAAAACAAATTAGTAACCATGAGACCTAATACAGTTACTATAAATTGTCACTAAATCTGGCTCTGAACTCCATGGATGATGTTAACAAAAATGAACAATTATTGACCACTTGCTCTATGCTCAGGACTTGTACTAAAGGCTTCAACATTGCTCATTAAATCCTCTGCTGTCTGTAATATCATCACCTGTATTTTACAGACAAAAAGACGGGGCTTAAAAAAAAATCAGGATTTAGATAAACCACAGAGTAGGCTTATCTGGGTCTGTTTCTTCATCTCTGTAAGGAAGGGTTGGACTAACTGACCCTTAACATTACCCCAACTCTGAGATTCTGAGATTGTGAAAATCAAAAGCATAACAATGACAATCAAGAAAGTCTACACAGGCATTATGCAAAGCAAGGCTATGCATGGACACTTCAAGCAGCCCTCCTTAGGTAAAACCTTAAGGAAGACCAACTTTGCCTCCCTGTCTTCGCCCCTTCTCCATCTGGAGGTGCCTCCCCTCCTGCTCTCCTTTGCTTCTCTTTGCTTTCAGAATAACTGTCAGCAAGATTAATTTAGATCCACGTGTTCCCTCTCCCTGGGGCATTTGCCTTTCTTTGAATCTTCTCTCAATGCAGTGAAAGTTGTGTCCTGCCCCCTTAAGAAAGGATTTCGGGCATAAGCACACTGGTGGAAGAAGTGTTTACCAATCAGGGACCCTGTCTGCCAGCAAAGGCAGCTTCCTTCCTCAGCCGCTTCTGGGCTGAAGGGCAGATGAGGAAAACTAGGAGAAGGAGCAAAGCCCCAACTCAAATAGTACCTATTGAGACCTCTTTCAGATGCATTCATGCATATATACAGCTGAAGTTGTCTTGCAAAACTGATGGACAAAATTCAACCTTGTGATATTAGAAACTGTAACTTACGAGTTAGCTAGTTTTCACATTGCAAATAAATCAGCACCTGGTCACTTTAAATAGCAAAATCACCTTCTGGACGTGCGATTTATAAAAACTATTTCACATAAAGCATTTCAGGTGTTTATACACAAGGTCTCTCAAATCCCTGCAAAATCTGCACACATGGAACATTCAGCAAAATGTAAAAAAAAAGTACACACTCGTATGAATAATTAATTTAATAATACTTCTTCACAGTGTCTTCTTGACAATGTAATTAACTACTAAACGATAAACCATTACTTGCTATAATACAGTATATCTAGTACATACATATAGTATTATTCTCATGAAGCAATATTTTATAACTATTTTCAGCATTTTGGAGAATTGGGAAAAAGAAACATTACTATTTCAAGTAGAATAACTAAACATTAAAATTAGGAATAATTCTGCTAAAAAGATCTCAGCTTTTTTCAGCATTTTAATTCTAAGCTACTTTTTTTAATTTGTGTTTATGGAAATGTTCTCTACATTTTTTAAGGAACTGTGTGCTAAAAATGGTATTCCAAATTAATGATTTTTAAATTGTATCTAAATTTTTTCATTAAATATATATAACTTTTAAATGCAAACAAAATGAATTTGTACTTTAAAAAATATGTAGCATTTTGGTAGTGGAAAGGAATGCCTTTGTGAGCTCCTTCATGTTTCAATTGATATACTGTCTTCTACACAAGTGCCGCATGAGCTATACCACACTTGATTTAATTGATTTTATTATTATCAGGCCTGTTAATGTTTTAGAATTGCTTATGCCAGGGAGAAAGGGAAAGAGTGTTTGTTCTGAATGAGATTTATTTTATAAAGCACAAGTTCAACTCATCAAAATCTCTATTTTTTAGAAAGAAATTAATTTGTTGTTCTTGCACATGTTTAATTAAACTACATTAAGAAAAAAAAAGGCCTTAGAGTTGAGAACTTTCCAAACCATTTATTTTAGCTACAGAATTGGCAAAAACATACAAGATGATGTGCAATTTCCTTATTTTGGAGGATTAGTTGTTTGGAGTGTGGTTACGGAGTTTCTCAACCCACACTTTTTCAACGTTGATAACCATTAAGAAAAGACATAGAATACGCAATTCTGTTCACTCAAATTTGGTAGATTCTGGGAGTGAGTTTCTTACCCCAACATTAGTGTTACAATGCACACGAGTTTAACTGTAGTTAGCTACTTTCATTCAGGGCTCTTGTTAGCATCTTATAGTAAAGGCGTGGATGAGGAGGGGGGAAAATAAAGCTTTGACAGATGGTACTCAGCGTTTGACTCCTGCTGAGCTCAGCAGGACCTGTGGTTTCCAAGGTTAGGGCTGTCAAAATGGCTCTGTCTATCAAGTGAATAACAAAGTGTAGACTGCCTGTCTGTTTCCTATACAAAACTTAGATTTCATTTGCCATTATTGTCGGCCTTTCTGCTGATTTAATAACTTCTAAGGAGAAGAACTAGGGGTTCTGATGCAGCCTCACTATTTAAGAAACTACTTGGAAAGGGAATTCTCAAGGGCTGAAAGAGGTAGGCCGCGATCTGATCTCTTTCTCTTTGGTTTCTCTCTAAGGCTTCAAGACTTAAAAAGGATTCAAAAGACACCAAAGGTTCACTTTTGGCTAAAAGCTAAATGTGAACCTTTCAAAATGAACTCATTGCTGTCTTCCTCTCAAAAGGGTAAAATTTTTTTTATTAAGAATCCTTGGGATAGTGGATAATTATTCAACTAGAAATATTGAGAATGAAAATGGAACTGTTTCTGTTATGAAATACATGGATCTGTTTAGATGTGTTTGTCAGGGCCTGTTTTTCACCTTTCATAGCTCTTAATATTAAAAACTCTCCCATTTTTTTTTACCTATTTCTAAAGCCTTCAGATGGTCAGATAAAGTACCTGATGCTGAAAAACAGGAAATTGAATCATGTCTCCAAAATGTGCCTTTTGTCATGCACTGTTACAGCTATATTTCTTGGTAAGTCTGATGTTCTCCTGTATGCATATTTTGTGATTACAAGATTGTTATTGACCTCTTGGGATTTTAATAAAAAGCTTGTGGATTCATAAACCCAGGCTTTCTATTAAGATATGCTGAAATTAGGATTGGGGTTTTGCTTCTGAATAAACTAATTATATTTCAATATTTATATTAAATATTAATACACTTAAATTTAATACACTTAAAGTGAAACACCTGATTGTTATTTCAAAAATGTGGCATTTAAAAAATGACAGACTTAGACCTTTGTCCTGTCCCAAAACTAAGAATTTTAGTTGTCATTTTTGAGAAGCTGATAAAGGGAAATCTCGTCTCTTTTCAATGCTGGCTTGTGCAAACATTTCCACTAGTGTAGTGATTATTCCCAACCAGCATATCTGAAAAGATGACATTCTCCCTACAATATAGTTGAAGAAATTTCTTCTGCAAATATTTAGTTTATATAAATCCCATAATCATAAAGGGAACGTTATTTGGAAGAATGGCGATTTATTGTGATTTTTAGTACAGTTCAGTATTTTGAACATTAAACTTAAAAAAAATTTAGGCTTTAAAATATTTACTTTCTTTTAAAACTTATTTTAAAAACCCTAACCCAGTGTTTTTTCTGAGACACAGGGCCTATACTACATATTAGATATTCAGTAAATGTTATTGAATTGAAATAAAAAGGATAATGACTATTGAGTAAAAGATGAAAGGAATTCTTGAATTGAAATAAAAGGGAGACAACTTTTACGTCAGATTATTGTAAGAAATTATCAAATGCCAATTTAGCATAAATCCTTTTCCATTTGTGCTTGGGTTTTATCCTGGAAATGTTTGATGCTTTTAATCATCTCTGTAGATAATAATGATAATTAAACAGAAATTTCAAAAAAAATTCTAAACTAAAAAGCAGTTTTCTTCTCCCATTTTATCTCTCTGCCTTTAGCTTGCTTTGTTCAATAGGGCAGTTTCTAAGCTTCTTTCTAACAGCCTATACTATCACTACACCATCCCTGCCCCCAAAGGAGGTTTTGTTAATGGTAAACTTGCTGAATCAAATTTGCTTTTTATGTGTTTGCATTTTTTGAAGAGTCTCTGAGGGGTTTCTTCATGTGTCTATAGGGAAAATGTGCTTCTGTATTTTCATCCAAGTTCATAAACTATAAGGCTCTGGAAATTAAGTCCATCTCTGGCAGGAAATCAGCAATCCTGAAGGAAGGAAACAGAACTAAAACAGATACAATGTTTGAGCACTATGATCACATACCATACTTAGTCTCCAACCAAATCCTTTCTGGTTCTAATCCACAGCACTGGCCCAGAGCTCTGGGACCCAGAAGTCAAAATATCCACGACTAACTAATATAACTAATATGTTCTAAGTGCACTAAGCCCTTCAATCATTTTGTCGTTGTTTTTAACTGTAGTAAAATACACATAACATAAAATTTATCATCTTAATCATTTTTAAATGTACAGTTCAGTAGTGTTAAGTACATTCACATTATTGTGCAGCTAATCTCCAGAACTGTTTTGATCTTACAAAATGAAAACTCTGTACTCATAAACAACACTCCCCCATTCCCGTCTCTTCCAGGCCCTTGGGAAACACCATTCTACTTTCTGTCTTTATGAATTTGAGTAGTCTAGGTACCTTACATATAAATGGAATCATTACAGTATCTGTCTTTTTGTGCTGGCTTATTTCACTTAGCATAATGTTTTCAAAGTGCATTAATGTAGCATGTGTCAGAATTTCCTTCCTTTTTAAGGCTGAGTAATATTCCATTGTATGTATATGCACCACATTCTGCTTATCCATTCATCTGTCATTTGACACTTGGATTGCGTCTACCTTTTGGCTGCTGTCAATAAGGCTGCTATGCACATGGGTGTACAACCTTCAGTCGTTTCAGAATGTGATTACTACATGCTGCAGAGTAAATTAAGACATACCGGAGAAAATACTTCAGAAAAGTAGGCAGAAAATTACAATAATAAAAATAATAGATAACACTTATTGAGAGCTTTCTATGTTCCGGGCACTGTGCCACACACAGCACTGATCTTAACTTTCTGAGATATGCACTATTATTACCCTCATTTTGTAGAAGTGAAAACAAGCACAGAGAGGTTGGTTAACTAGTCCAAAGTCACTCACCAAGTAAGTCACTGGAATGCAAATCTGGGAAATGGGGCCAGAGTTTATTCATTTGGAGGAGGAAAGAAATTACAGAATCCGTATTCATGGAGCCACAGCCAAGTACCCTTAGGGAAGATCTCCTTGACCACTGCACAGAGCATGACCTGAGCAAAAGGGCACTTTTGAATAAGAGCCAGAGAAAACAGCTCTGTCACCTGCTAGCTGCAGGACCTTGAACAAGACAACTGCCCTTCTGGGCTTAATGTTTCGTCTGTGAAAGGAGAGACTGAATTGAGTGTTCTATGGCCTGTTATGTTCAGCATCCCTCATTCCACGTGAATTGTTATCTAATACTTTATGACTTGGTTATTTTACCTACTTCAAGACAAGAAAATAATTTAAAATTTTCAAATATATGCTTAAGTCTACAAATTTTGATAATGACTAATTTTCTGATTCTCATTTCATTGTATTCAAATTATTCCTTGATATAAAAAATATCGTTTTTACTCCTCTAATGAATCTAAAAAGAAAGAATACAATGACATGGTACCAACAGGAGTGTGTGAGGTAAAATGTTTCTCCTTCAGAGGTCCCTGAGCTATGCCTACCTCAACAAAAGCGAAGTAGAGAGTTGCAAACAGTGCTCTTTAATATATATTCAAATAATTAGGGTTATGTGACCCCCTCCCCTTTCACCCTGCCACTAAGAGAAACAAGAAGGGTGAGCCTGAATTAATGTTTTCCTCTTCACAGTAAAAATGCATCACTTCATTGTATCTCTAGAAGCACGGACTGTACATAAGTAGCCTTATTATAAATAATTTTACTAGCTCTTTTGGTTCTATGGTTATGAGTTTAGGTTATGATTTTTTTGTGTTCGCTTTCAGAGCATAACCCTAATTCTGGGTGTAGTGATTGAATTGGATCCAAGGAAACAAAGGAAAAATATTTTTTAAATAAATGTTTAAAATTTTTTTTTTTTAAATTCTGAGTTCCTGGAGAAGAGTATTTGAATGCCACTGATCTAATTTATAAGTAGGTGCATGTTTGCAAACCCATGAAGAACGCTTACCAGAAAGAACCTTGCAAATCAGGCTCAAGAGAAGACTTGAGTTGCACTTTTGTTGTAATGCTGTACAAATCAAGTGGCAAATGCTTATTTGACCAAAGTCCAAGTGTTTCAAGTAGAGTACAGTCAAGTGATTTGATCAGGTCTGCATTTTTTCAGGGATGTCTGCAGATAAAGTTCAATATTAACTTAAGGGAATGTTTTCATTTTCTTTTAGCCAGCATTTATGGCAAGATAGACAATTTTATTTTAAACCAAATTATTACAATGGAAGCGCTTTCCATATTCCAATACATGAATTTGTTATTCTTCATATAGTAACTACATTCAGCCTCCAGCCAAGATAAAGAATTATGTGATACATACTTCATCTTCCATCACTGCTTTCAAAAGATGTGAATTCTGCAAACCAGACAGAAGAGGGAGCTATCCATCTGGAAATTAACCAATCCTTTCAAAAACATGTCAAATAAATATAGAAGAAAATTCTAATATAATCAAGTCTTATTTAGTCTTGTATTTTATAAAAATACTATAATTTTTCTGGTGCATTAAAAATGACAAAGAAAACGACCAGTAAAGGCAAAAACATTGAGTTAATTAATGAAAAGGCAAAATATACAAACGATTAAAAGGCCAATTAAAAATACACTCACATTTTACGGTTTGATCTCACATTTTATAGCAAAATGTAAAACCAGAACACACCTCCAAAAAGGGCAAAATAATACTCTGCTGCTATACGTATTACTAATATCACCTTCCTATAGATCCTGTTCTTAAAATGGAATGCTGACTTTAAAATTGATAACATCTGGAAATAATGGCAAAAAGGAAAAACTGTTGGGCTGCATCTGTCTTGAAAATGCTATGTAATAAGATTTACTTAATATATTTGAAAAAGGAAAAATGTTTTGTTCCCCAATTTGTTGCAACATCTGAAAGTTCACGAGGTTATGACCCCTCTTTAAGAAAGCATCTCCCACCACCTGCAAATACCCCAGGAAAAGCAGTTGGAAACAATAAAACACGTGCTAGTTAACTGTTACCAGGGAAACGGTTCTGGTTCACCAATCAGAGCGCCTGTGCTTCCCAGTGGCTTTGTCCGGGGGAGACATGCGCCAGCTGTTAGTGAATAACCATTGTTATAGATCATCAGGAAATCACAGTCAGCAGGCAACCCAGCCCCACTGGAAGTTTATTTCTCATATTTGTTCATCACCAGGGCAATTCTCCACCTTTAAAACATCCTCTTAGGCTGGGTTAACTAAATAACACCCTACACGGGTAAGGTCATTTAAAAAAGGCAAGTTGCAAAATGGTCTTTTTGCCAGCAAACAGATTTCTAACTTTGATTCCAAATGCATCACCCTCCTGTCCCCTTCACTTTCCAGTGGCAATTTTAAGACTGATATCTAAAGTCTGTGCTCCTTTGAGTGCTGTTCCTCCTTCACCTAACTGGCACTCCAGGTACCAAGAGCTTTCACACCATACCCTCCAAGACCTGTCAGAGATCATTTGGCAGTTCCCATGCTGGAAAGACCAGTGTGATTTGCAAACGGGGAGTTCTGAAGAGGCTGGCCTGTCATGAGGAAAGGGGCTGAGAGGACAAAACCCTGGTTCCCTCCCTCGCTAACACACACAATTCAACCAGAATAGCCCCACTTTATCAATTTTATTATTTTTATAAATTTATAAATTCATATATTTTTTGAAAAAAGATGGCGTTACTTTTTAAAGTTTAAAAACCAGCTCTCAACCTATCCAATCATCAGACTCATCTTAAAAAGTAAAGTCATCAAGAGTTTTAGTTTCAGGTCCAGCATGTTAGGCTGTTAAGAAGTCACCACTCTAACAACAAGTAAAAAAGCCAAACAAACTGAAAAATCAGCAACTCTTCTTAGATCTGTCAGAGAAGTGAGGTCACAGGACAAATCACTGTCCCCCAAATTGGAGAGACAGACAGACAAATAGAATCACAACTTACTAGAGCAGAAGTCTATGAGCAGTCTCTTTCTCAGGAGTCAGTGCCAGGGTTAGAAAACCAGAACTGCAATTGCTAGAAGATCAGTGTGGACAAGTTTAAGAATTAAAACTCAGGAGGACCCAGACATGTGGTCTAACACACGTTACCAATAGAGAAGCAAAAATAAGAATTACACCTGACTGGTCCTCAGAACATGCAAGCAAGAAGAGAGTGGTGTAAAATATTTAAACTATTGAGATAGAAACTACCAGCCTAGAACTCTATACACTGTGAAATTATCCTTCAAAAGTAAAGAAGAAATAAAGACTTTCTCAGGCAAAAATTGAAAGTATTTGTTGGCCAGTAGTCCTGCCTTGCAAGAAATTCTTCAAAGAAGTTCTTCAGAGCAAAAGAAAATTATATAGGTTAGAAACTCAGATCTACGTAACGAAATGAGCAATGGAGAATCAATCAGTGAAAGTGAAATAAAACTTTTATTTTTCTTATTCTTAAATGATTTAACACAAAACTGTTCAAAATAACAGCAATGATATATTCAATTATGTATACTTATATGTTTTAGATATATGTGCACACACATAAACATACATATGTATGCTAATGTATGCTTATATGTAAGTGAATGAATAATGGCAATGATACAAAAGGGAGAACAGAAGAGTTAGGAATATTTTGTTATTATAATGTACTTGCACTGCTCATAAAGCAGTATATTGTTAATTGGACTTGAATTCATTATAAATGTCTATTGCAAACTTTGGGGGAAAACTACTAAATTTTTTTTAATGTGACTTATGTCCTAAGAAAGAAGAGAAAATGAAATCATATAAAATGGTCAATTAAAACTACAAAAGCAGAACAGGTGTAGAAGACAAAATAGGAATGAAGAGCAAGAAGAACAAATAGAAAACAATAACAAATATGTTACATATTAATCCAGCTATAATAATAATCACTTTAACCTTCAATGGTCTATATATGCCTATTAACTGACAGAGATTGTCAGACTGGATTAAAAAACAAGACCCAACTACATGTTGTATACAAGAAGCCCACTTTAAATATAAAGACACATAAAGATTAAAAGTAAGCCAGGCGCGGTGGCTCACACCTGTAATCCCAGCACTTTGGGAGGCTGAGGTGGGTGGATCGCCTGAGGTCAGGAGTTTGAGACCAGCCTGGCCAACGTGGTGAAACCCCATCTCTACTAAAAATACAAAAAAATTAGCTGGGCATGGTGGTGGGCACCTGTAATCCCAGCTACTCGGGAGGCTAAGGCAGGAGAATTGCTTGAACGAGGGAAGTGGAGGTTGCAGTGAGCCGAGATCACGCCATTGCACTCCAGCCTGGGCAACAAGAGCAAAACTCCATCTCAAAAAAAAAAAAGTTTAAAAGTAAGGGTATGAAGAAAAAAATACCATGTAATATTAATCGAAAGAAAGCAGAAAATCTGTTTTTAAAAAAGCAGGAGTAGCTATATTAATTTCAGAGAGAGCCAACTTCAGAACAAGGAAAGTTAGGAGGGATAAAGAGAGCTATTCCATAATGATGGAGGGGTCAGTCCTCTAAAACAACATAACAATTTTTAACGTGTATGCACCCAACAGAGCACCAAACTATGTGAAGCAAAAACTGATAGAAAGGCAAGGAGGAACAGATAAATCCACTATTATAATTGGAGACTTTACCACTATCAGAAATGGACAGATCCACTAGGCAGAAAATCAGTAAAGACATAGTTGAACTCAACAACACCATCAATCATTGGGATATAATTGACATCCATAGATTATTTCATCCAACAACTTATTACACATCCATCTCAACCTCACATGGAGCATTTGCCAGGATAGAATACTTTCTGGGCCATAAAACACATCTTAAAATATTTAAAAGGATAGAAATCATACAATGTATGCTGTTAGAACGTAATGGAATTAAAGTAAATATCAATAACAGAATGACAACTGGAAAAGCTCAAAAAACTTAGAGACTAACAAACTTTTAAATAACATATGGGTCGAAGAATAAATCTCAAGAGAAATTGAAAATATACAGTTTATCAAAATTTGTGGAATGCAATGAAAGCAACATTTAGAGGGAAGCTTATAGCATTGAATGCATATATTATGAAAGAAGAAAGATCTGAAATAAATAACCTAAGCTTCCACTTTAGGGAACTAGGAAAAAAAATTAAATCCAAGGAAAGCAGAAAAAAATAAAAATTAAAGCAGAAATTAATGAAATTGAAAACAGGAAATCAATAGAAACATCCAACAAAACCAAATGCTGGTTCTCTGAAAAGATAATAAAAGTGATAAATCTCTAGCCAGGTTAAATAAGAAAAAAAGATAAGACTAATATCTCAATGATAAGCACTAATATCAGAAATGAAGTAGAGGACATCATACATATACCACGGGCATTAAAAGGATAATAAAGGAATATTACGGACAACTCTATGCCCACAGATTTGATAATCTGGATTAAATGGACCAATTCCTAGACACAGCTTGCCAAAAGTCACACAAACAGAAATGGACAATGTGAATGGCCTATATCTATTAGTTAAATTAGATCAATAATTAATAACCTTCCAACACAGAAAGCACAAGCCCCAGATAAGCTTGCCCATGAATTCTACCAAACATTTAAAGAACAAATTATATTAGTTTTCTACAGTCTCTTTTAGAAAATAAAAACAGAGGGAATACTTCCTCACTCATTCCATGAGGCCAGCATTACCCTAATACCAAAGTCAGACAAAGGCTTTACAAAAAAAGACTTCAGACCAATGCCTCTCATGAAAAAGGATGCAGAAATCCTCTACAAAATATTAGCAAGTCAAATTCAACAATGTATAAAAAGAATTATACACCATGACTAAATGTGATTTATCCCAGGTATGCGAGGATGGTTCAACATTTGAAAATTAATTAATGTAATCTAGCGTATCAGAAAACTAAAGAAGAAAAATCACATTATCATATCAATGGATGCAGAAAAAGTATTTGACAAAAGCAATGCCTATTTATGGTAAAAAAAAAAAAAAGAATCTCAGCAAACTAGGAATAGAAAGGAACTTCCTCAACTTATAAAGAATATCTACCAAAAAAACTACAGCAAACATCATACTTAATGGTGAGAAACTCAAAGCTTTCCCACTAAGATCAAGAATAAGACAAGAATGTCTCTTCTCTCCACTGATTTTTCACACCATACTGGCAGTTACAGCTAATGCAATAGAACAAGAAAAGAAAATAGAAAATATACAGATTGGGAAAGAAGAAATAAAACTGTCTTTGTTTGCAAATGACATGACCATATATATAGAAAGCCCAAAATAATCAACAAAAAAACTCCGGGAAATAAGCAATTATAGCACGGTTGCAAGATATAAGGTTAATATATAAAAGTCAATCACTTTCCTATATACCAGCAATGAACAATGAAATTTGAAATTAACAACACATTGCCATTTATATTAACACCCCAAAAATGAAATACTTAACTATAAATCTAACAAAAGATGTACAAGATCTATATGAAAAACTACAAAACCCTGATGAAAGATATGGAGGAAGAACTAAATAAATAGAGAGATAGCCCATGTTCCTGAGTAAGAAAACTATATTGTCAAGATGTCAGTTCTTCTTAATTTGAACTATAGATTCAAAGAAGTCCCAATCAAAATCCCAGAAAGTGATTTTGTGTATATTGACAAACCAATTCTAATGTTTATGTGTAGAGGTAAAAGATCCAGAATACCAACTCATTATTCAAGGAGAATAAAATTGGAGGACTGACACAACCTGACTTCAAGACTTACTGTATCACTACGGCAGTCAAGCCAGTGTAGTACTGATGAAAGAATAGGTGAATAGATTAATGGAACATAATAGAAGGCCTAGATATAGACCCACACAAGCATGGTTAGCTGATCTTTGACAAAGGAGCAAAGGCAATACAATGGAGCAAAGAGTCTTTTCAAGAAATAGTGCTGGAGCAACTGGACATCCACATGCAAAAAATAATAATAATAATCTCGACACAAATCTTATATCCTTCACAAAAGTTACTCATAGTGGTTCATAGGCCTAAATACAAAATGCAAAACTATAAAACTCCTGGAAGATAACACAAGAGAAAACTTAGATGACCTTCGGCATGACATTGACTTTTTAGATATAACCCCAAAGGCACGACCTATGAAAGAAATAATTGATAAGGTGGGCTTCATTAAAATGTAAAACTTCTGCTCTGCAAAAGATTATGTTAAGAGATAGTGAGTAGATAAGCCACAGACTGGGAGAAAATATTTGCAAAAAAAAATCTGATAAAGAATTGTTATCTAAAATACACAAAGAACACTTAAAACTGAACAATAATAAAATGAACCCAATCTAAAAATGGGCAATATACCTGAATAGACATATCACCAAAGAAGATATAATAAGTAGCATATGAAAGATTTTTGATATTGTATGTCATTAGGGAACTGAAAATTAAAATGAGGTACCACTAAACACCTAAGAGAGTGGCTAAAATCCAGAACACTGACAGCACCAAATGCTGATGAGGATGTGGAACAACAGGAACTCTCAGTCATTGCTGAAGGGAATGTAAAATGGTACAGCCACTTTGGAAGACCGTTCATCAGTTTCTTTAAAAACTAAACATACTTTTACCTTACAATCCAGCAATCACGCTCCTAGGTATTTACCCAAAGGAGCTGAAAACTTACGTCCTCACAAAAACCTGCACATGGATGTTTACAGCAGCTTAATTCATAATTGCCAACACTTGGAAGAAACCAAAATGTCTTTCAGTAGGTGAATGGATAAATAAACTGTGATACATCCAGACAAAGGAATATTATTCAGCACTAAAAAGAAATGAGCCAGCAAGCCATGAAAAGACATGGAGGAAATGTAAATGTATATTACCAAGTTAAGAAGTCAATCTGGAAAGGCTAAATGCTGTATGATTCCAACAATATGATATTCAGGAGAAGGCAAAAACTATGGAAACAGTAAAAACCTCAGTGGGTGGCATGAGTTAGAGGGGAGGAAGAGATGAATAGGCAGAGGATTTTTAGGGCACTGAAGCTATTCTGCATGATACTGCAGTGGTAGATACATATCATTATACATTTGTCAAAACACAGAGAACACCAGGAATGAACTCTAATGTAAACTGGATTTGAGGGTGGTAATGATGTGTCAATGTAGGTTCATCTATCATAACAAACGTTATCACTATGGTGGGGGATGTCGTTAGCAGGGGAGATTGTACATGGATGGGGATAGGGTATATAGGAACTCTCTATACTTTCCACTCAATTTTGCGTGAATCTAAAACTGCCCTAAAAAATAAAGTTTACTAATTTTTTTCTTAAAAAAGAGACTTCTCCAGTCCACATCTTGTAAGTTCAGGTTCAGGAGGTAGGTCTTGGTTGGGGCTTGGAAATCTGTCTTCTCCATAAATCCAAAATGTTTCTGATATACAGCCAGCGTTGAGAATCACTGGGTAGATCTTGACCTCTGATCTTTTAAGATGTAACTGTACTGTTCAATTTTTTTTTCAGGTCTTTACTGTCTGCTAGAAATAATCTTATAAATTCATCTGTACTAATGTTGGTGGCAGATAATGCTTAGATATTAAAAATTTGCATTTATAGAAGGGTCTTTTTCTACCTAAGTACTTAAACTAACAAGAGCCCCATATTATAGGCTGGCAGCCTCTAAACAGCCTACTCATAGAGGCAACTAAAATGAGGATTCTGTCTCAAAGCTCTGTTCCATCCATGCCTTCCCATGGAGCAAAGGAACAAACAAGATATCAACAATTGGAGAAATGGCAACTATAATTCCATCATTCACAACTTCAGTTTTCCTTCAAGAGAACAAGTGACACTGTTAATCAGGCCCTGCAAGCACAAATAAACAAAAATAATAATTTGAGAAAAGAAAATGAATGATGGCCTAAGAAGTCTAGTGTTTCTTCCACAACCAAGGTATAGTAGTCTCATCCTTTGGAGCTTTAGATGAACAGACTGAGGATCATAGAGTTTCTAACACAGCCCCTTCTTTCTATGCAACCCAGAATGATGTAGTTCTCTATTTTTAAAAGCAGCAAAAAGGATGGAAGTGTTCTCCCTTGAAGCCCAGATGTTTTCTATCTTTCTAAGCTGCAATTATTTCAACACATTATTTTAGCTACACTTACATCAGATCAGAGCCACCTGTTATATCCTCTGCACACTTATGAGAGATTTACTGTTAAGTTTCTATTTATGGTTTATTTAGGAAAGTCAGAATGCAATTGAGAGGACGCTTTTAAAGTCATCTTGAGGTCCAAGGATGTGTGTATAGCAGATTAACAGATAATCAAGACACTGTGTTGTGTAGTGTAAACATAATCAACCCTAATTTTGTGATTCATTATTACATAAATTTGGACGTAACCCGGACTAAAAAACTCATCATCTGAAATTCAACTACATGCCTGAAAAACATAATATAACATTGTTATACTTTAAGGAAGTTATTAATCTACTCCTAAACCAAGTATTACAAAAAATTGTATTATAATGCATTTTATTGTAGGAGGATTCTTTATTACCAAGATTTACATATTTAAATATTCTCTCATTTTATCTTGTCTGAAATTAAATGTCACTGTAATATCAATAAAATATGTGAATATATATATATATATTTCCTTTCTAATGGTAAACAAGTATTTGCAAAAAACATCCTAAGTAATAGCCAATCATTAATAAATGTTTACTGAGCACCTCCTATAGGCCAGGAATTATTCCATGTGCTGGGATATAGAAGAGAACAAAATATATGAAGTCCCTGTTCTAGGAAAATGTTGGAATAAATTTATAGTTGACATTGACCCAAAACCCGACATTGTAGTGTTAATAATATCACAATATTCACAAGTTAGATTTTTGAGCTCTAAAGTAAATATTGCATATCATGCATTATTCCAGCACTTTAAAGATTAGCAGCAGGTGATGGTATTATCATAAGACCATTATTAGGCAGAAGAAAGATGGAGAGAATAAAAGTAAAAAGCACATCTCCTCATTCTACTCATCTAATCTTGTTATTACTTAGGCATAACTAAATTACAAAAGACTAAGAAACTCAACTGCAAAGTCTAACGTTAGATAAAATTGCTTGAAATGCAAGGATATTTACCTGGATTGACCATAAGGCTTTTGGTGTGACTAACACACTGGTAAAATAAGCACATATGAAACAAACAGCATAATTTGAGAAAAAAAAATGAATGATGGCATAAGAAGCCTCGTCTTTCTTCCATGACCAAGGTATACTAGTCTCATCCACTGGTTGTGGCTTGGGAAACTTCACTTTTCATCTTTTCCTTCATTCTCTATGGAGATGTGTGGCAAAATTAGAGAGTATCCATTCTCATTTATGCACCTATCTGAATCCCAGCTATAACTCCTACTTCCCATCAATTTTAATCTTGAATAAATATAGTTTTAAAATTTAGCAAGACCAGAAAGATCACTGTAGAATGACGACAACTTTTTTCTATCTTAAGTACAACTTCAAAGTGGCAGACTGGAAAATCTCTGCAGGCAAATGTGATGTCACTGAGGAAATCACACACTTACCCGTAGAGATTCTACAGTCTGACATCTTCAAGCATCGAACCATTTCATCAACTATGCTTTTGTTATAAGCAGTTCTTTGGCCTGGAATAAATCTAGCATGGCCAAAAAGCCAAGCTATAGCCCACTTACTGAACTTTAACTTCTTCTAAACCAAGGTGACTACATGCCTCGTGATGGTTGAATCCCACTAAATTAAATTTTAAAATAAGAAGGTTGTTTGTAACATGGCTTAAAGCAGTTGTTGTCAAAGTTTGATTCCCAGACTAGCATCAGCAGCGTCACCTAGGAACCTGTTAGAAATGCAAATTCTTGCACCCCACTAGAGGCCTCCTGAATCAGAAACTCAGAATGGGCCCTGCAATCTGTGTTTCAACAAGCTTTCCAGGTAATTCCGATTCATGCTCAAGTTTGAGAACCACTGGCTTAGAGAGAGCAAAAGATTATAACTGGAACACTAAAATAATCAGACAAAATAATATGTATTCATAAAAATATTGTCTAGAATACATTTCTAAAGTAGTGGTCTTAATAAGTATAAGCATTAATAATAATGGAAAGAAACATTTTCATTTAACTCTTACTTTGCCAATAGAATTGCTCAGATGTACTTATTTCCTTAGAAATAAGGAGTTAAGAAATCTTATTTAAGAGGAGAAAACGTTTTCATGTTTGGGAGGATTAAAAGGGTACTGACATCATTCAAGTCATGAGCCATAATTCTTATTAGATTTTATTGCTACATTCTTCGCACAGCTTTGGAAAGTTATTCCTAAGAGCACAAAATATGCACTTAGACTGCACACAGAGAAGGAAAATGCTCTCACAATGAAATTATTTTAGTCTGGCCCAGTAATATTTGAAAGACTCAAGATTTGTTCTCTCTGAAACATATCCTGTCAAAATAAGAGATGTTTGTTTAAATTTATAGTTTTCAACATCCTTTATAATTTTCCCTCCTAAGTTTAATTTGTCTGTAAGCAATCCAATTTCTATATACTAAAAAAATTATTTTCCCTTCTCCTCTAATATAATAAAAATGTCATGACTAAAAGGTAAAACAAAAAATAAAAAGTATTAAAAATTATTATTGAAATTGGTCTTCAATGACAATGAATAAAAGCCATAATTTGATTTTTATATATTTATAATAATGTTATGTATCTGTTAGTATCTGAAACATTGGTATGCCTGTTAATCAATAACTTCTGGTAGCATGTTAAAAATTCATCTTCAGTTTCATTCTTAGTGAATTCATTTGGATTATTTCTGGACCACACCAATTTCCCATGATGTGATGGAAAAAATTGTAACATTCAAAAATTGAATTAGATCACACACAAAATGTCAACTCACTCAGATTATAATAATAAGGTTTGGCTTGTTCATTGAAAAGTGGAGCCCAACTATGTCTAGAGTCTGTAAACTCAGTGCTGGAGATCAACAAGATGTTTTAGACACTTCACCACTTCAGGTGACCTGAAAGAAATACATTTCCTTAGATGAGGATAAGAAGGCTCTCCAAATATCAGGTTTCTTTGCTTTCATTGGATTTAATTCAACTCAATATTGATGCAATTGCTAATCAGAAGCTCCAACTAACAGTCTAAAATGCCTTTGATAGTAACAAAAGAAAAAAATTATTAACCATATATGCAATTTGTTACACAAAATATTTCAAAACATGAGGTTTCATTAAAGGAAACAATAAAAACATTGCTAGGAATTTAGCATCCTCCCAGGCAGTAGGAGTGTTTTAAGTATTTGATAACAACGACCAATAGTCACTATTGCATGAAGCACTCTACACATATTATTTAACTTAGTTTTCTCACAAACCCAGTGAAGAAGGTATTATTGGCACTCCTATTTTATAGTCCTTTTTTTCTCCTAACAAAGAAATTGAAGTTCAAAAAGACATAAATTGGAAGGAAATAAATTACCTAAATGTGCATAATTCTACATCTCAGACAAAATAGCACAGAGGAACAAGCATGGAACTACAAGTCAGGAAACTTAGGTTTTATGTTGTTTGTTTTTGTTTTTTCAAATTTTTATTTTGAAAAATGTATAGACTTACAAGCAGTTAAAAAATAATAATACAGGGGTTCTATGTACCTTCACTCAATTTCCCCCAACGGAACATCTTACATAACTATAGTAAAATATCTAAACCAGGAAATTGACATTTATACAACCCATAGATCTTATTCAGATTTCACCAGTGTACAAGCACTCATGTGTGTACATGTGTATAGTTCTGTGCAACTTGCCACATGTAGATTTGTGTAACAACTGCCATAGTCAAGATACACAATTATTTCATCACCACAAATATCCCGGTGTTACCCCTCTCTAGTTACACCTATCTCTTTACCCTCTTGATGCCCCATCCCTAACTCCTGGCAACCACTAATCTGTTTACTATCTCTATAATTTTGTCATTTTTAGAATGTTTATAAATTTAATCATATAGTAGGTAACCTTTTGAGATTGAATTTTTTTACTCAGCTTAATTCTTTTGACATCCATCCAAGCTGTTGCATGTATCAATAGTTTGTTCCTTTTTACTGTTGAGTAGTATTTCATGATATGGATGCAGCATAGTTTGTTTAATGATTCACCCATTGAAGGACACTTAGTTTGTGTCTGTGTCTTGGTATTACAAACAAAACTACTACAAACAATATAGTCTAAGATTATTGTGTGAGCATAAATTTTCATTTTTCTGGGATAAATGTCAAGAGATGTGATTGTTGGGTCATATGATAAATGCATGTTTACTTTTTGATTGTTATTACTTTTTTAAAAAATTATTTTAGATTCAGCGGTACATGTCCAGGTTTGTTACATGGATATATTGTGTAATGCTGAGGTTTGGGGCTTCTGTTGACCCTATCACCCAAATAGTGAACATAGTACCCAATAGGTAGTTTTTCAACTCTTGCCTCCCCACTCCTTTTGGGGTCCCCAGTGTCTACTGAGGAAATGTAGGTTTTCAGTATCTGATTCCCCTACTTAAATTAAGCCTCTCTGATTTTCCTGATCTTTACAACAGGCAAATTATTCACTTTCCTGCTTACTTCTCATGGCTGGTAAAATATTTGTTAATAATAAAGAACTGGAAAGATGTAGGACGTAGTCATTATGCTTAGAGTGAATGGGCAAGCTTTGAGGATAGCCTAGACTCCTGCTGCTGTTTCTCACCACCACAGTCTTCTCCCATTGCTGTGGAAACTGCAAGAGAGAGGATGCTGGTGGGAGGACTATTTTGCCTCCTAATCGGCCCCTCCTAAGGACACTGGCCATGTATCTTTGATCATTTTCCTTCCTGGGCGCAGCCATGCCTCTTTGCCCTAGCCTTAGTGATACTAAAGACACAACCCTTAATTAAGGCAAGCAAACAGCTTCTCTTGAAGGACTGTGCTAGATGACTCCACATGGTCTTTCTTCCTCTGATGGGGTAACAGGGTTCCCTCTCTTTTCTTTCAAAGGATGTCAGGGTTTTCAATAAATGTGTAACAAAAATACACCAATGCCCAATGGCCTATGCAGAAGTAAAGCTTGGCTACAATGTGCCATCTCTCAAGGACCTGAAATTCCTTTCTGGATACAATCTTGACAGACATTTCAGAAGCTCCACCATTCACAGAAATCAAATCTTTGGATTTGGAAAGGAAAATAGTGGCCACTTATTCCAGCACTCTTATATATTGAGCACTGACTGTATACTGGGCATTTGACATACACAGTCCCATTTAGTCCCCATAACAATGTTATATGAAGTGAGACTATTACTGGTCTCAATTTGCAGATGAAAAAAAGCTGAAACTCCTAGAGGCTTAATAAGGGCCTTGAACCAGGTCTGCTTGACTCCAAAGCCCACAATTTTAACCACTAGCTGATTTTGAGGCCCAAAAATTAAGTGGCTCCAGGACATATAGCTGGTTAGTGGTAAACCTGAAACTACAGTCCAGTTTACTTTCTACCACATGACACTTATCCCTAAATAATTAACTTGAACAGTCTACATTCTAATAAAAGTTCCTGAAAGAGTTACTCAATTTTTCATGTAAGCCAAATGGTTGACTCAAAATCAAAGCTACTAAATTATAACCCATTGGCTAAAGTAGACGCCAAGGAAGAAAGATTTATATAAATTTGACATCTATTTATACTTTAACCTCAGTGGGTAAATGCTAAATGCTGTTGCTGAGAACACAAAAACAACATAAAATGCACATAGTCCTATGAAATAGATGCTTCATCTCTTCCTAATTGTTACTGCCAACCTAAAAATCAAGGCAGAACAAGTAATTAATATATTATTAGCATAACAGGGATCATTTGGGGAGTTCCTAAGACCGAGCTTGAGTTTGCATTCACAAACAGGTAAATGTTACCATATTCATTATTCATCATCAAATGTACATATCATGTCAACTCTGTATCCTGTAAAGTTTCAACTAAAGAATCCATTAAGGATATTATAGTCTATAAAAGTCAGATAACTGTCCTATTTAGCAAATGTCTTTTTATTTTCTTCTTATCATCACCCACCATGGTGGCTGCCATGGAGAACCTTCTTCAGTTCACAAATGACTATCCACTAAAGTACAAGTATGCACATAATGGAATCTGATCTAATATAAGGTGTGGTTAATTGCTATACTAAGTTGTAATATTGACTCCTTGAAGCAAAGGGCGTGGTTTTAACTCACAATTTGTTTTCCTCTGTGATACTTCTGTTCATCTTCTTTCCTCTTTTGAGACAGGGTCTTGCTGTTGACCAAGCTAGAGTGCAGTGATTGATCGTAGCTCACTGCAGCCTCAAAATCCTGAGCTCAAGCAATCCTCCTGCCTCCTAAGTAGCTGGGACTACAAGCGTGTGCCACCACACCCAGCTAACTTGTTAAATTTTTTGTAGAGATGAGGTCTTGCTATGTTGCCCAAGCTTGTCTACAACTCTAGGCCTCAAGTTATCCTCCCATCTTAGCCTCCCAAAGTGCAAGGATTACAGATGTGAGCGACTTACACCCAGCTTTGCTGCTTATTTTCTTTCCTTATTGATATCTGCAAAACCCAGAGCCTGTGTTTGGTTGTGGAGAAGGATAGAGGTAAAGGGCAAATAATTTCAATCCGTGTATAAAACACACCACTAATACACAAAGAATATTGTCTCTCCTGAGGCTCCAAGCAACAACTGCAGAGAACTAAAAGTCATATATCTTTGCACAGATTTTTGCTTTAGGGGGCCAAAGATCACCATGTACTATATAAAAAAGGTAACATCACCATTGTCATTATAAAGAAATATTTACTAAGCACACAATGTGCTTGGGACAGTGCCAAAAGCTGTAATTTCTTGAAGGCTTTAAGCAGCATAGTGCTTTTAAAACAAAAAATGATAAAACAGGGATTCCTCCTTGAACCTCAATTTTTCAGTACCCTGTTGGATTTGGAAGGTGTATAAAATTGTCCCTTATTTCAGGTTTTAGTTATAATTTATGCAGATTTCAATAGATTGCTTTTATAGAATTGGATGGATTTCAAGTGTTTTCTCCAACTCATTTTTCAAACAAGCCACTTTTCTCACTTTATGCATAAAACATCCTAACTGGCCACATTTTACTTTAAATGTCTATGTTAGAAAGACACAAATTTATGTAAGAAACTAAGCATGTGAAAACTCTAAGTAGTAAATATTTATAAAGATGGTAATGTTCCCTTTCTTGACCTGGGTGGTAGTTACGTGGGTGTGTTTACCTTGTGATAATTCATCAAATTGCACACTTATGATTTGAGCATTTTTCTCTAAGTGTATTTACCTCAATATAGTAACTTAAAAGTAAGTATTTATGAAGACTCCTGGCATTCGCTCCCCAAACATATGCAAGCCAATCAGAATAGTTGAGTATGTATTGTCCCTGCCTGAGGGACGTGCATTCTTCAATCTCCATCCTAAAAGATTGTTTTTAGGACCTCAGGCCTTAGGCATCAGGTATTATCCCCTTGGCCTTTTTCCCCTATGGGCTTTCTTCCCTAAACTGAGCCCCTGTCTTCTCTAATTGGTCCTGAATTTCCCTTACTATCTCCAAAGCAGTTGAGAAAATGTTTCATTCATCTTTTTCCTCACAGTACTATGTCTAGCCACCCTTGCTGTTGCCCTATAAAGATCCAGGTGTCCTTTTACAGGTGCTTCCTAGGTGGCTTTCTTAGGGTCCTCTTCAAAAGGAGCTCTTAAAATCAGAGAATGATGCTGCCTCCTGGTATCTGTCTCTTTCAGTCTCCTTTTCTCACTATATTGCTGGAACTCATATTTCTGAAAAATGAGTTCCATGTTGCTTTGTAACTCCATGGAAAGGTATTGCTATTGGTTATTCTCCCATTTTCAGTTTGATTTCTGTAACAGCCTTCCTGAAAGGGTTATTGTCAAGATTAAATGAGATAATCTACATAAAATGCTTAGTAGAAGGCTAAGAACATGGTCATCCCTAATTAAATAGCAGCTTTTGACACTGTTATTAGTACTGTATGGTTCCATGTCAGACATTGTTAGGCATTTTATGTAAATATTTTTATTTAAACTCCCAGCAAGCCTGTGAGATAGATACTGGGATCCTATTTTTTAGTGAGAAAACTGAGATTTTGTAGGGGTTATGCCTTTTTCCTGGGTCACTAGACAGTTAAATTGACAATGGGGATGCATTTGCTTCTAGAATAAACACCTTCTTATAGGATGTGAATCCTGCCAGATTGTGGCATGGCACTCAACTCCTCAAAGAAGCCATTGAGTTCCAGTCAGGCACTGCGAGAATTGCAGAAGAAATCTCAAACTTGGCCCCTGCCTCCAAGAAGCTGACAATGGGTAAGTCTACCCTTTTGCACTCTTGCCCAACATTCTGTCGTGGAGACTTACAGGCTTACAGGCTGCAAGTATCTAATCATCTTCCATGCTTTCATGTTTGTTGCCTTTAGCATCACTTCCATCTTCCCAAACCAAGTATCCTCTTAGAAAACTCTGACAAACAGCCAGGCGTGGTGGCTCACGCCTGTAATCCTAGCACTTTGGGAGGCTGAGGCAGGTGGATTGCCTGAGCTCAGGAGTTCGAAACCAGTCTGGGCAACACGGTGAAACCCTGTCTCTACTAAAAATACAAAAAAATAAGCCAGGCATGGTGGCGGGTGCCTGTAGTCCCAGCTACTCAGGAGGCTGAGGCAGGAGAATTGCTTGAACCCGGGAGGCAGAGGTTGCAGTGAGCCGAGATCGTGCCACTGCACTCCAGACTGGGTGACAGAGCGAGACTCCATCTCCAGAAAAAAAGAAAAAAGAAAACTCTGACGAACTTAGACTGACATTTCTTCTCTGTTGCAAGAATCTTCAGAGATCTGGATTCTAAACACTGTCTCCTAAATATTTCCAGGAAAAACTTTTCTCCTTCTTTTACTGTGGATGTACTCTACCAGAGAAGGTAGGTCCAAGCTGATTCAGCCATTACAACTTCAATTCCATGGAGCAGATCAGTGGCTCATGTCACTGAAGTTAATTATTATTATGTCTCTGGTCTGCAGAAAGAGCACCTCCAAAATTTTCTTTTTTTATGAAAGAGAAGTTGGCATAAGTTTAGTCTTAAGGATTGCAACCCAATTACATATAGGCAGCCCCCAATGACTATTCTAACAGAAACTACTTTATTTCTCTCCAATTACTCATACTATTATCATTATCCAACCTACTAATAATGGCTTTCTCTGAGGACATTACTTATCCGCTTGGGTCACAGGGATGTAGAATGCACCATATCTCTTGAAGTGGAGCTGGCTTCTTTTTAAGGCTTTGCAGAAGCTTGAACTAGAGAAGGATAAAGCCTTTTTATGGGAACCATCCTTTGTATCAGTAATACTTATGTTCTGTTGTTAATTGTGACTACCTATTCAAGAATGTCTCCACCATTCAGAATGTGGAAAACATGCCAGTGGGAAGCTCAGCTCAATGGCAGTTCCGGCTTTGGCTTTGGACTCGACACCCACTTATGCACACTATGACTCAAATTCCCTTCTCGTAATGCCTTATCTCTAGACACCACTCTCCATGAATCCCTTTCCCTGTTCGTAATCACTTCTAATCCTCATGTTCCTCTGTCTGACCTTCTTTTCCCACAAAAATCCAGAAAGTATGCACTTAATAAACAAACAAATCCATTGACAAAGATAGATGTATTCAGGGCAGCTTTACCAAAATTCAAACTGGTATTTAACACAATTCCAGCCAAAATGCTCATTTGTAACTCCAGCCAACTATTTTATTGAAATCAATTTGAAGCCAAACATTTTCCAAATGCCTACAAGGCTGCAAAAATAATAAATAATGTTTGGCTATTTTTCAAACCTTGGAGGATACAGAGTCCCAGTCCCAGAAATAACAAAAAGACAAGGTGAAAGGAAGCAGACTTGAAAAGAGTTATTGCTTGGATAGTGACTCTCAACCAGAAATCAAAGAGCAGAAGTTCATTTAGGGAAACTTCAGGTAGTTATCATAACTGCTAGGAAATTAGGATACAGAAGAGAGTAACATTGAGTGGATTCTCATGGGTCCTCTCATCTACCAGCACTTTTTCAGTTGATTTATATAGATTTTCTACCTTTGTTTTGAGTTAATTTCCAAAAAGTAGGATGCAAAAGATACTCAAATATAACAAAATTAATACTACTTCAGCACTAGCTTGAGTTTGAGTATCCAAAGACCTGAGATGTTTCAGAATTCAAGGCTGAAGTTTGAGGGAGGACATGTCTCAGATGATGGAGAGAAAGAAGAGAAAACTGAATTGCAAATACAGCTTGTATCAACTCTAGATACCATAAGGTTCAGAGGAATCAATAACATCATGTAAACTCAGAAGCCCTTCAACTTAGAGATTGAGACATCTCTTGACCTATATACTAACTACCCTAGTACATTGGTAATAAACCAGTAATTCAAGCAAGATACAGAAATGGATATGAAAAAATTCTAGGAAGGAGGAAAATAACAAAAAAGACACAAGCATAAAAAATGAGTGGGATTTGGATAACATTTGTAAACTCTAGAGGTGGAAGATTTGTAAAACTAACAGAAAAAGTAATTGAGTTAACCAAAGGACATAGGAGTAAAATTAAAACAAAATAAAATTAGCATTTATGGAGAATCTGTGTATCAGATTCTGTACTAGTTAGACATTTTCACAAACACCACATTTAGTTCTTAATCTCATGCACAAGTATTACCAACACAGAAACTGAGGCTCCAAGAAATAAAACAATTTGCCTTAAAGCCCACAGGTAGTTAAGTATTAGAACCAGGAGTCACACCAAGGTCCACTTCACTCCAAAGCTCATGTGCTTCCCGACACCCCACACACCATTCCACAGCCAAGATAGCTGCAGGAAGGGGTAGTCCTCCAGGTTTTCAGAAGATATCCAAATAATTACAGCTTTGAATAAATAACACTAGTCTTCAGGGAAATAGGAAAATTGCCACCATCTGAACAGACCCAATGACCAAACTGAAATTTATTACTCTCAAATACAAATCTATAGAGAGTCTCTAACAGAACTAAGATCACAAATGCATACATTGCGGTGCACCCAAAATATGCATATAGAGACATCTTAGATAATATCCTCAGAATACTTGAACAGAATGTATAGATAGTGTTAGAAACAGCTTACTCCTTGATACTTTGCTACTGTATTTCAGTTTATCTGGCCTGTGGACTATCTATCCACATTAATATAGCTTTGTTGCCAAAACAACTTTGTATCAGTTTCTTCCTTTTTCTTTTTTAAATGCCCATCACAGCAACCCACTAAGGTAGGCAAGGCAGAAACGTATATGTCTTTGCTTCCATTGAGAGCCCACCTCCCTGTGCAGTTGTGGACATGACAACTTAAGATTAATAAAAAGCTGTCTCATCTTCCACATCAGCATATGATGTTCCCATTTATGATCTTTTCTTAATGTTTTCTAGCAGAGGGAAGAAGAACTACATACTCCTGTCACTTCTCTATGGTAACTTTTCACTATTAAACTTTCTAGAGAGAAAGGAAAATCAAATATAAGATTAAGAGAAAAGAAAAAACTGAACGTCATTCATGTTGCTCTGAGAAGCCCTTGTTTTTTGATTAAGATAAAATCTGCTTATTTTTAATCCTGAGCAATTTGACTCCAGAAAATAAACTTAGAACAATATTTAAAAAGTTAAATCCTAATGATGAGACATTCTTATTTTACAAAAGTAGCTTTGTACTTAGGAGTCCATATGAGGCACAAGATTATATTCAATTGTTCTTTCTCAATTGTTTTGTAACTTTATATTTACCTGACTTTTAAAACGAAAAGCCACTTTTCTAACTCTGTAAATTACCACTCTCTTAATTGTGTCAAGTCTCAATTATTAAAGGACAAGTTATGAGCTGAAATCCATAATTCTTTGCTTCAACAAACATTTGATTTAGTTTGACAAAATTTTTTTGAGCACTTATTAAACATCAGATGCTAAACTGAGAATAGTATAGTTGAGGATATAGAGATGAATAAGCACAGTGCCAACACTTGGAAGTTTGCAGTCAATGAAGGAGAAAGCATGTGAGTGAGAAAACACCATTGTGTATTACAGGTGCCAAAAAAGGGAGACTGGGGAGAGAAGGCAGTGTGTGATAGTTTTCAATGTGTGACTGTCACACAAGGGGGTGTGTGTGTGTGTGTGTGTGTGTGTGTGTGTGAAAGAGAGAGAGAGGAGGGAGAGAGAAAGAAGAAATAATTCCAAGTATGGGCAAACACAGCTCATTGGATTCTCAGAACTTGTTAGAGCTGGAGTCTACAATGTAGAGGAAGAAATGGTCTAGTATGAAGTGAAGCTGGAGAAAGGCAGTGGAAAATCTCCACCGAAGTGCAAATCGCAGCCACCAAAACCAGACCTACTGAATCAAAATATAGAGGTAGGTCCTGGGGATCTACATTTGTAACAAGTTTCCTATGTGCTTCTTACACTCACTCAAGTTGAGATGCCATCCACGGCAGATGGTGGGGAAACTCTGAGGGCGTTTCCTCTTCCTTCCGTTCTTAATCATTATTCTTACCATTGATTAGCCCCACCCAGTGGACTGAGGGGCTTAGATCATGGCTCAGTCTCACTTAGCCATGACAGTGATGTGGGCAAGAGGGGAGGACATACCACCATCTATGAAAGGTAATAGCCACCGCTATTGACACATCTGGCCATTTGGTGAGTATACGGTCATTACTTTTTCAACGTAATTGCTGGTTTTCTTGTCTGAGGACAAATTTTAGAGTGTTTGGCTTTGATGTTTCCAAGTTCTCTATAAAGCTTGTTTAAAAAATCATTTTTAGTGATTGGTTTTACATTCACCTGTACTCCTACTTGGCTGTTTCTTACTATATATGGATTAGAGTAAATCCTTTCTAAATGCAAAGATTATACTTTTATGACATTACATGCAATATAGCATATGCCAGAAATCTGTGAATTCAGCAAGAGGAGTAGCTTGATAATGTCGCCTCAAGAAAAATGCAGAGGGGTACATCAGGGCTTCTGCTGGTGCACTCGATGTATGAAGATGTGCTTCCACCTGAGGCAGCCACGTGCCTCTGCTCATACACTTTCTCTTGCAGGTCTAACACGGATGGCTGTGAGTTGGCTTAATCTCAGCTGGCAACTGTGAGATGTTCATACAATCCCTCACAGTGGTCTCTGGGATTATGCTAAACAGAGCAATTTCCTAGCCCTCACGAATCAAAAGACTTGCATGGCAACCAAAATTAAACACCAAATTTCTATTTCATGACCAAGACGGGGGGAAAAGTTTCGATGGTTACTGTTTCATGCTCAACCTCTTTTAATCTTAGTAAAGTCTTTTTCTAAAGTGCTGTTGTGCTGGAAAGGAAACCAGCCTTGGGAATTAATTTGCCTTTATTGGATTCGCTTGCTACTTACTGCGCTCCTTCAGTGCTACTTGGTTTTTTAAAAAATTGCAGCCAAGGGAGTTTGGGTGTTAGAAGCTGAACCCAAAATATTTTCCCTCTGAAAGCTCCTCCCACTCTCTTTGTGGGTGCTACTCCATCAAATTCCAAACAGTCTAAAAGAGGACGATCTCCTGCCAGGCCCTCCTCAAACTTCAACTCCCCAGATTATCACATTTAATCGCCCTTCCTCATTCCTTCTGTAAGTGTTTCACATTCATCTGCCCTAAATAATATTGAAATTTAGAATCAACTATGGCTTAGGCTGAGGTTGCCATGAAACTTTTGAGCTGTACCCAACTCTAATTCTCGGTGATCCCTGGAAACAGATAATCCTTTTCCATAAAAAGAATAAGAACAAATGTAATTCTTCAGGGTGAAAAATCAAGGCCAGTTATCTTCCTCATTCACCCAGTAACACAAAACAAATCAGATGAACCAAATTTATAATTAAATGTGGGATAACTTTAACAACAAAAATTATTAAAATGCTATTTCCAAGGTCTTGACTGGCACATATCCCCTCAGGTATCCTCAGAAAGAGAAGTCTGTATATCTCAGTTTGATTAAATTACATTTCTGGGCCGGGCGCAGTGGCTTACGCCTGTAATCCCAGCACTTTGGGAGGCTGAGGCAGGCGGATCATGAGGTCAGGGGATCGAGACCATCGTGGCTAACACGGTGAAACCCTGTCTCTACTAAAAATACAAAAAATTAGCTGGGCATGGTGGCGGGCACCTGTAGTCCCAGCTACTCAGGAGGCTAAGGCAGGAGAATGGAGTGAACTCAGGAGGCGGAGGTTGCAGTGAGCCAAGATTGCGCCACTGCACTCCAACCTGGGCGACAGAGCGAGACTCTGTCTCAAAAAAAAAAAAAAAAAAAATTACATTTCTGTATCAAGGCACATTAGTATGACCTATTAGATTTCCTTGCCAGAAATTGATGTTGAGCAGTAGGAGGTAAGTTTGAGAACTAGTTATTCACATACTAATAGCACAAATACTGAACCATAAGCCAGGAAATAACTTACCTCTGGTAAGGAGAGGGCTTCGTATTAATTTTCAGGACTCATTAAGGGCTCTTTTAAGCTGCTGCTGAAACTTTCTAAATGTTGTCTGTATCCTCCTGCTAGTTGAAATAATCATTTTTTCAAACATGAAAAAATTCCCAATTCCAATTTTTGGTGACCATTTTTCAAAAAGGGAAGAAGATAAATGTAATTAAACAGAGCAGGAAATATTTTTTGAAGAGCTGAGTACATATGATGCATCAGGAACCATGCTTGTTGCCTTGCTTGTGTGTACACTCAGTGCACTCTTGCAGTCTCCAGATGTTCCCAGTGCTCTCTGCACATAGAGGCACAGGGAGCTTTTGAAAATGTCAATATCAAGGGCTGTGCCACTGATAAATCAGAATGCCTGGGATGGGATCTGGGCATCTCTGTTTAAGAGGCACCCAGGGGATTGTAATGTGCAGCCAAAGGTGAGAATCACTGTATTTGAGCTCAACAGGGAAGCTGTGGTTGGAGTGCAGTGAGAAAAACTGGAAGGAGAGGATTAGAGGGTATAGCTAGGTAGACTATGGTAAGAATTTGGGGTTTTAGTGTGAGGGACTCCACAAGCAATTGGAGAGTTTTAATTAAAGAAGTGGCATGACTTATTTACCAGTAACACAGTTTAATAGACTTTTCTTAGAATCTAACCATGTATAAACTTTAAAGAAAAATAGTTATTGTGGACTGCAAATAACTTCCTTGTCATTTAACTTTAGGAATGTAAGACCACAGGATAGGCAGATTCCAACCAAGAGGAAAGCTAGTATGAAAGAACAAAAAGGAAATTAGCTCAGAAATCAGGAGCCCCAACTCCTTTAGGCAACAGCTTGAGTCACTGTTTCAAGAAAAAAAGAAAATCACTTATCCTTTCAACACATAGATTCTGACTTTTCTTTTAAAGCTTAATAATTTTAGAATTACATCCTGGTAGTAATTAGCATCAAAATAAGTGAAGGATTTGGCATCTCTGTCAATGAGACATTCAAAATATCATTTGTTAGACTGGGTTTATGCCAGTCTTCAGTAAAAATAGAGTACAACAGGATTCCCACCCTTTTAGTAAAGAGGCTCTGTCTTGCTGATGACCGAAGACCTTGTTAGGGCTCCTGGGAACTAAGTCCTCAGCATTCCTAGCTCATCATCTCATTCACCAGCACCTAGAGCGTGGCACTTATTATCCCTTTTCCACCTGTACCATGAAGACTATGAAAGTCAAGGTGCAAGCAGCCGGCCTCTTAATCAGAGCAAACAAGCAGAACCTACTGCCAGTCCGCAGGACTAGACCTTAGATGTCTGCTGAATCTGTGATCCTGAGCTTTTGTTGAAAACCTGAATTATATTTCTGCCTGGTAAAGATGGCCCCAGGCTCCAAATGTTTGTCTTCTGTGGAAATCCAGATTAGAGTTTTCTGTGGCCCTCCCCCATGCTGTACCACTAAATGATGAACACTTATTGAATGCCCAGAAAGTCCCACTTTTCCCTCCTTTGGCAGCCTGCCCTCAGCCCAACCAAAACAATAGCAAAACAAAATAAACAAAAATGGCTTCTGTTTTTAATGATCACTGCAAGATTCACCATGAAACTCCTATAGATGAGTCTCTATAACCGTCTTATCCAAGCCAGAGCTGTCTATCATTAAGGTAGAGCAGGACAGAAAGAGCTTTTCTGGTTACAGACTTAATTCTGTATCAGATAAGTCCCCTCAGGATCCGTAACCCTGCAAGGTACCCAATTTGGGCTCGTCACCTGGCATGGACATACCAGGAGGATCTCTCTGGAAAAACTCTTGAAATACCCTGGAAAGGGTGATCCTCTGCTTTTTAGTTATATTATACACACCTCAATTACTGGGAAATACTCTTCAGCATATACAATGCTCTAAAGATTGCTCAAAACTGTGACCTGAATTTTAGGATTCTGTTTTATAGTGGCCAATCTCAGTTGTATTGCTTACTATCATTTTGCATTGTCTACAGGCATGTTAGTTATATTTCCAAACTCAAGTAGTGATTAGTTGGCCAGAGAAAAGCAGAGTTTCTGTTCTGTGATTTCTCTGCGGTGAAAGGAAATGAAAACAGGAAGTTACAAATGTACTCCTTAAAGACCTATAATAATATAGTGACATTCAACAAGCAACATTCTTGAACTACAATAATTACTAGGACTTGAACTTCTATAGGTGCTCAATTCTGGCCTTTTTCCTTCTAGATCATCACATTCACTTACCAAGGTCCTGTTTGAGATCACCTGTTTCCAATAACTCAAATAGTCTCTGCCTAGGGTAGGGCACTGGTTCTAAAATTATGGCCCCTGGACCATATCACTAGAGAAGTTGTTAAAAATGCCAATTCTTGGGCCCCATCCCAGATTTACTAAATCAGAGACTCTAGGTGTGGGTCTCAGCAATCTATATTTTAACAAGCCTGTGGATTATTGCTCAACTTTGAGAGCCACTGGCCTAGAGGACCTTTTCACCCACCTTGATGAATCTCTCCTTCCCCATCTGATTCCCTGCAGTAGTTTGTAAGGAAAGATGACATTTTAATATCCAGTCATCCCAGCCAACTGTATCCCAGTCCTTGGGACTTTAAAACTTGCAGTCTTATGCTGGACACTCCAGATAATAGCCAAAAGAAGCCTAAAATTATGACAAGACTCCTGCCCTGTTATTTTTAATTAATGACACTACCTGAGGAAGATCACATAGAGCATATTTGCAACAATCAAATCTTAAGAAAGCCTATTCTTCACCTACTTTCACTATCTTATCACAATTCATCCCAGCACACAAATGACACAATACAAACTGGTTTCCCAATCACCACAAGAGTTGTTAACCCAAGTCCCTAATCTGTCAAATCTTGCTGCAAAACTCAGAAACTATAACTACAGAGAGACAATACTAACTAGAGGGGAACATCATGATGAACTGGCTTCTCAGGTGCTCCTCCTGGGGTTCCTTCTCCAGTAAGGAGTCTTTAGGTTTTCTAAGACCACTCTGCTTACAAGTCTTTGGCTTCATTTGAATACCCTTTAGAAAAGATATACAGATTTTAGGGAAATGTCTGGTAAACAATTGAGATACTGTATTTGATCACATATAAGACCTCTAGAGAGAGAAACAATAAGCTAGAAATTATGTCCCTAAGATACTTTAATGTACTCCAAATTTTCACTATCTGTAAAATGAAAATATGATTAACCTTAACTCTCAAGCCTATTTGGAATCCAGATAAATGAGACAGAAAGCCAAAAGTGGATTCTTCAGTCTCCATTTCTATGATCTTCACCTCTCAGCTCCACCTCTATTCTACTTCTGAATCCCCTACCCAATTATTTCCTACCCCTTATGTCCAAAATAGCCCATGTAAACTGGAGTCCCACTGGACAGAATGATGAATTTGCTAAGTAATATTAGAGTCCTTCATTCATTCTATATTTGGAGGCATTCTAGAGGATCAACTAGAATTTTCTAATGAGAGATTCTCCAAAAGATGACTAGCAAAATTATTAATAAGGTAGAAAACCTGTAACACTCTCAGAATTATAGGTTTGGCCACCACATTCTTCAAGTTGTTACATGCCTCCCATATGTACTAATTCTAAATCTAACTTTATCATTTCAGTGAGCTAGAATTCTAGTGTGGTTAAAGTAATATAATAAACAAGAAAACTTTTGGAAGTGATGAATATGTTTATTACCTTGATTGTGATAATGCTAATATCAGTGTGTATATATATATATATATATATATGTCCAAACTTACCAGATTATATACATGAAGATTCTGTATACCAATTATACCTCAATAAAGCTGGCAGGGAGGAAAACATAATAAACTTATCTTGAAAATGAAATACAGTTTATCCTAATCAATGAATCTAAAATTAAACAATTCATCAGAATTTTCTCATTCAAATCCACTTGAGGGCTTTAATATTTTTTAAATTATCATTTAAAAACAAGACTGAGTGGCTTAAGAAAAGCTATTTTTAGGCTCGGCACAGTGGCTCACTCCTGTAATTCCCACACTTTGGGAGGCCAAGGTGGGTGGATCACTTGAGGTCAGGAGTTCAAGACCAGCCTGGCCAACATGGTGAAACCCCATCTCTACTAAAAATACAAAAATTAGCTGGGCATGGTGGCAGGCACCTGTAATCCCAGCTATGTGGAAGGCTGAGGCAGGAGAATTACTTGAACCCGGGAGGCAGAGGTTGCAGTGAGCGGAGATCGTGCCATTGCACTCCAGCCTGGGCAACACAGCAAGACTCCATCTCAAAAAAAAAAAAAAGCTAAGGTGGCTTGATTAGTAGGTTAGATATAGAATTTTAAAAAGCTATTTTTAAAAAACCCTTTATAAATGCTTATTCACACTAGCACAATAGTTTGCCATGAAATAAATGTCTGTGCTAAGTTAGTCATACACGTTATATTGTAATATATCTCTCTTGGTAAATTGGGAAAATTATTTGTTAGTATGACTTTAGATTGCTTTATTAAGTGACATTAAAAAGAGTTTTTTAAATTGCAAATTTCATATGAAGGAACAAAAGAGAATAAAGTTGTTGCATTTGGAAATAAATGATATTTAGTATAATTATTACATAGTTTTTGATGTCGCAGATACTGCATCAGGAACTGATTGGATAAGAATCAGTCACCATCAGTTCCTAATGCATTGCCTTCAGCATCTAAACAAGCACCAGTAAATACCTCAAGTTAGATTTGCTGTGATGTGTTCATGGTCATCCAATAAAATACACAGTCTTAATTTAACCCTGAAGAGAAATGTTTCTTCAAGAGAGGTGAGCCCAAGATGCTAAAACACCTATCATTTACCACCGTTCTTGTGGATTTATCACTGAAACCAGAAGTACAAATCTAGTTGCGTGTTTATGCCTATGATACATTCGTACCTTCCTAGCTAAATACATTACTAAGTAAAACAACCTAAAGTTACTGATCATTTTTCTGTTTTGGGAGGAAAATGAATACTTTTTTTGTCGGTTTATCTTTGCTATTTTTTTAACCTAAGTGTTTATGGAGATTAAATAGGTATTGCTATTGGAATAAGGATTATTTCCCACTTGTAGCACTAAAATAAATGTTACTATAAGAAAAAGTGCTACAAAGTAATTACTATTAAAAAATACCATAGTAGCTGGGCATGGTGGCTTACTCCTGTAATCCTAGGACTTTAGAAGGCCAAGGCAGGAGGATTGCTTGAGCCCAGAAGTTTGAGACCAGACCAGCCTGGGAAACATAGCAAGACTCATCTCTAAAAACATAATAATAACCAGGAATGGTGGTGCATGCCTATAGTCCCAGCTACTTGGGAGGCTGAGGTGGGAGGATTGCTTAAGCCCAGGAGTTAGAGGTGTCAGTGAGCTATGATCATGCCACTGCACTCCAGCCTCGGCAACAGAGTGAGACCCTGTTTCTAAAAAATAGTAATAATAACATGTTAAATTCTACTTTCAATGAGTCTAAATTCACATATATTTCCAGAGTTTTCTGGTTGGAAGGTCAAGGTGGCTTGACTAGTAGGTTCATTATACTTCACTCACTAATTCATTTATTGAAAATTTATTGAACACCTATTATGTGCTAGGTACTATTCTAAGCACTTGCGATAAGGCAGTGAGCAAAACAAAACAGGCACAGTGGCTCACATCTGTAATCCCAGCACGTTTGGGAGGCCGAGGCGGGCAGATCACCTGAGGTTGGGATTTTGAGACCACCCTGGCCAACATGGTGAAACCCCGTCTCTATTAAAAATATAAAAATTAGCCAGGCATGGTGGTGCACGCCTGTAATCTCAGCTACTTGGAAGGCTGAGGCACAAGAATTGCTTGAACCCAGGAAGTAGAGTTTGCAGTGAGCTGAGATCATGCCACTACACTCCAACCTGGGCAACAGAGTGAGACTCTGTCTCAAAAAGAAAACAAACCAAAGTCACTTCCTAAGGAACTTTACACACTAATAAAGGAAGTAAACAACTAAAAACTTAATTTATATTATTCTTCATAAAATCAAGAGTTTTCAGAGGAGCAACAGTCTTGAAATAAATATGCTTTGACATGGATTGAACATTATTGGATACAAGTAATTATATAAATTGTGTGGATACTTACCATATAGTATTGTTTACCTACATAACAGGAGGGCTCTCTGAAAGAAAATGATATTTATTCAGAAATAGAGCATTGCAATGGAAATACATGTGCCATTGTAAACTATGTGCATATTCAGGGAGGTAAAGGAAGACAAAGGTTTGTAAAGGAAAATTGAGGAGGATTAGATAATTGTTTTAAGATAATTATCCTTGGCTACAAGGATCAATAACAATGGTGGCACTAGTCCAAGGTTGGGTAGGCACTTATTCGGCAAATGTCTTTAAAGAATTATTTTTTTGTGCAAGGTTCTGGTTTTTGCAAAGTCTTTCATGATAGTTTTTGTTATTAGGCATTTATGAATGAGAATCTTCTCTTCATTATTTTTTTCCCAGCTCTATTTGTCAGGGTTGTTTTTTTAACATGAGTTACTCTATTTTTATTCTGACAACTTTTACATTTCCCCCTTTTTGATCAATATCTTTCTCCAAAAACATCACTGATCAATTATCCTATATTTAGATTTTGACATCCCTCAGTGCCTGGCCTGGCTGGATCTGGTGCAGGTTGCTGGTCTGATCTCGTATAGGAGGGTGTGAATGGCAGCTGGGAATCAGCGTTAAAGCCCTTTTAAAGCCACATTTGAGCAACAAAGAAGGTTTGAAGGGAGAGCCTCTCAGGCTAAGTCTACCAGGAGTCCATTATTAAGTTCAATTTTGTCTGTTTTGTAGCCTTTGGCTGTCACTTCAAAGTGCTGGGACAGCATTATTCTGTTAGAAGTTGTATTTCTGAAAAAATGTAATGAGTAACAGATACAAAATTCGAGAAAGGGAAATTCAAAGTAAGATTAATAGTAATATGACAATCCCAGTTTGCATGTAGTTTAAAGCCATGAAACCTATGCTTACAGGCAACCAATCGAGTAAATCAAATGACCATTATCCTGCCGAAAGAAAAAGGTAGACATTAAGAGGGGTAAGAGACTCATCATAATATGGAATCTTGTTCTGACATCTTCGGAAAAGTTCTCTATGGTGTAAAAACTTCAACCTCTTGTCCTGGTTTTCAGTTTAAATATGTCCGTTTAAGGAATTGGAGAGTTTGGTGAACTTTTTCTGGGACCCTTACATCAGGCATGAGACTTGTTTCTTGAAATTCATCTAGTTTCAGCTTATGAAGCTTCAGGAACAGAGGTTCAGTTTTTAATAATTTCAAGGGAAAAAAAGTTGAATTGGAGGGATCTGGAAGAATTCATGATCTAGTCTAGTTTATAGGTTGATAACAAGGACTTGAAATAATACACAGAGCTACAATCTAATAACAGGTGTATTATAACTCTCCTTTGGAAACATAACGTTTTCTTTCTAAATTGGTCACTTAGGAATCTCAGATTTAAAAACCTCTTGAGGCTAGGAAGCCAAGCCAAAGCAGACTTTAGATTTCATCTATAGTCTTAAGGTTCCTGGACCTGTCAGGAAGTGAAATTTTTAATCTATTCACTTTAATGCTGAAAACCCTTGAAGCCAGGCATTCTATGTGCATTTTCAAATATGATATTCCAGTCAAAGCCTTGGTAATATAACTAACGTTGCCAGCTATAAAGAGAAAACAGATTTTTATTGGTTTAATTTATTTGGAAATTTTCATCCAGACATGTAATTTATGTCTATTAATTCCACATAAAATAACTTTAAAATCTCAAATTATATGAAAATTTATTTATAAACATTTACCTCTTTCAAATTACCTAATTTATTTATTTTTAACAATTTTATGAAAATTACTTATGAAAACTGAGATATTAGGAAAAGCTCTAGTCATCATTTCAAGTTATTTTCCTGTTAACCATTGTTTAGCCTGTGAATATCAGGTGCTCACCTAAATAAGAATCTTAAAGTTAAATATATGGATATTTTACTGATAAATACAGCTGTTTTTAGTAAGCCAACAATATTAAATTAGTCTTATCAAGCAATTACACAAACAAAGATCATTCTGTTTTAGGCTGGGTTTAGTCTTATAACCTTTGTGTCAAACCTTGACACCTTAAAACATCTAGCAGAGACAAATATGAAACTGTCTGACCAGTAGACCCTGGGAAAAATGTATACAGACAATTTTGAAGACATTTTTATTTTTATTTTACCAATGATTTTAAAACTAGCTTATTTAAAGATTTGCTTAAGTCACAAGAACTAAAAGGCATTTGGGTTAATTACCATATATTTTATATGAGTGCTCCATTTATCTAAGCCAATCTGAATAGAATTTCCTAAGGGATTTCTGTCTGACCATACTAGATTTTAAAACATAGACACAACATATAACATGATATATACACATATGCATAAACATACCTAAACACATATATACACAAAGATCTTATAGCTTTCATTTTAGAATTTTAGTCACAAGACAGTGAAACATACAAAGTCACTGGTTTATAAAAGACAATTGGATCTATATTACATTCCTGACAAAATGTAACCCATTTATGTAACTAAAACTATTATTTCTCCTGATAAGTAATCTAATGAAGTTTATGGACCAAAATTTTGGGTAAAGCAGTTTCTGTAGTAGTTTGATTTATTAAAAAAAAAAAAATTTTATCCCTTTTTTAGTTTCAAATAAGTTTAGGGTTAAATTTTCAATGTTTGCATTTTAGCTGGAACTGGCTGAATTGTACGAGAAAAACGGATCTCCAAGTGGCCTTGAATTTTTAGTAACAAATCGCTCTTTTCATTTGCTCTTCTTGTTTGCTTGACTAGTTAATGTGGGTGGAGAAGCATTTTAGCAAGGTTTTTTTTTTTTTTTGGCTTTTTCTTTTTGGCCCCTGCATGTCAGGCAATGAAATATTTATGCCAGACGGAGACACCTTATTTTATTGCTCTGAGCTCGAGATTTTGACCTGTTTGATCTGAGAGCCTACGTTTTATATACATTTATGTAGTTACGGACTATCAATCCTTCAATTAACTGCTCCACTGCCCTAAGCAATTGTTAGTCAGACACACCTAAATGTACATTAAAAGGGATTGCTCTTAGGTTTAGACTGTTGGTTACCATGAAGCTGTTGTAATTTTTAAAGTCATTAATTTGAAAGCCCTCTAAGGTTTTTTTTTTTAATGTTGTCTAGAATGCCACAATCACTAAGTTTTATTTCAGCACTTGTAGAAAAGTCAGCATATTCAAAATAGGCAGAAAAAAAATAGAGAAAGATAACTTGGAAAGCTCTATGTGTTAACCATATAGTTCTAGAGGTTTTTAGACAGTTTGAACAATGACCATTTGGGCTCTGAATCTTCCCTGATGTAATTTGCTCATCAGTTTAGAAATGTGCACAAGTATAGGCCATTTAGAAACGTGCGTTAAGTATGGGCCATAATATAGCTGGCTGGGGTCCCAGAACACCTCGTATACCTTAATGTTTGAGGATCCCATTCTGTTTCTTATCAATCTCTGATGAGTAAAGAACATCCTATAAATCCTGTTATAGGATTGGACTGATGTTTTAGATGGTGGCAACTCACTAGGGGCTTTTAATTAGCCATCCAGCACACACCATTTAAGATGTTTATTTTTGCTCTTCGAAGATTTTTAGAAGCAAGCAAGGGAAAGGAGTGAAATAATTTACAGATGCACATAACCAAGCTAAAATGAAATTAAGATAAAAGTATTCACAAAAATGTTAACCCAGGTGTGCAGATGAAACAAAATATTCAATTAGGCATACAGAAAAACCAAAAGTAAATTCACTGGGTAAGATGTGCCTCAAAGACAGAATGTAAACTCCACAGAAACAAGATTACTCAAAACAAAAGGACACTTGCCTTTTATACCAAAAATGACTTGTCAGAAATACATATATATATATCTTATTATTGTAGGAGGCATGTAAGATCTTTTATGTAAGGTGGTCTTGTAACCAAACCAAATCCTGAATAAAATCAAGAGTTTCTACCAAAAAGAGGGAAGCTCAGCCTGAGAAAAGACTTACCAGGGCAGAAGTGAGCCACGGAAGCAGAAAGCTCAAAGGTCTCAAATGAGAACGGCATACCAGCCCCAGAAATCACCTGTTCCTTCTGATAGTGATCCTTTCTCAGGTCCCACTTCTGGATGCCATTTATATCAACTTAAATGGCAATCAGAGAGAAGCTTTCTTAAAAATATGATATGAATTTGGGAATAAGTAATTGCATTCCAATGGGAATACATGTGCCATAGTAAACTATTGCATATTCAGAAGGTAAAGGAAAACAAAGATTTTTAAAGAAAAAATGAGGATTACCTAATTGTTTTGAGATAATATCTTTGGCTACAAGGATTAATAACAAGAGTGACACCAGTCCAAGGTTGGACAGGCAGCTGCTGAGCAGAGGTCCTAGCAGAAGCTTGTGCAAGGTTGCAGTTTTTGCAGTCTTTTGCGATAGTTTTTGTTTTCTGGCATTTATGAATGAGAATCCTCTCTTCATGTCCTTCCCCAGCTCAGTTTGGCAGAGGGTTTTTTTTTTTGGCACAGCAACTCCATTTTGATTCTGACAACTATCACACTATATACTGTACAGATGTTATGTATATCTATTTTATGGACTTAGCTGAATATGTTCCCTGAAGGGAGAAAAGGCTACTATGCAAGATATCTGTATTCACTTTCCTGCAGGTAATGTGAAACATAAATTTAATGTTTCTTAAATATAACTCAAATATAAACCATATGGCCCACTTTCAGTGGAGTGTTGCATTAAAAAGAAATACAGGCCAATGGCCATAAGTCATTCAAAAAATTGTTTCCACTTCTATTTATATCTGAAAAAGAGCAGAAGCAAAAAACAATTTATAACCTTCAGCACTACTTCTAGGAATCTCTTCTGGTTCTTAATGCCCCCATAGCTGCTCAATGTCTATTTTCTAACCCTTAAAAGCCCCAGCCCGTTTGGCTTATCTATACCTCTTTTCTTCCTCCTTTCCTCCCACCTCTCCAGTTTCCTCTCTCCGTCACTCTCTTTTTTCTCTCCCTACCCACCCTTACAGATCAGACCCTTAGCTTTTCATTCTATCGGTTCCTTCCATTCTTCCTTGCCTGCCATACCCAACTCTGTTTCATTCTCTAGACATTTACGTAGCTAGCTCTTACTTTGTCTCCACACTTTTTAAGAAACACCTTCTCCAACTGCCCTATTTAAAATATCCCCTCCAATCCATCACTTTCTATCCCCTTATCTGGCTTTTTCTTCATAGTATCTATCACTACTTGACATTTGGTTACATATTTGTTTGTTTGGAGTTTTTTATTGTCTGTCATTTCTACCAGAATAGAGGTACCTAAGAGCTGGAACTATGTAGTGTTCACTATGTTATCCCTAGTACCTAGACCATTTCCTGGCACATAGTGGGCTCTAGAAATTATTTGGATAGTAAGTGGATTAGTGAGAAACAAGCGGTTTGTATTGAAAATCATCATTTTAATTCTCCTTTCCAGAGAAATAGTATATATCTGAATATGAAAGTTTAGAAACCCTTCTAGTTAGGTCTTCAGGCCTTTTCTCCATCTACAGTCTCTTCTGAGGGAAAGTAGGGATTGGGTATTTAGTTTCATATCTTTAAATACTATCCATATGTTAATGAATCACAAATTTATATCTCTAGCCTGACTATTCCTTGTGCTCCAGACCAATATATGCAGTTCTTGGATTGGACTGATTGAGAAGGAAGGGGATCCTGAATGTTACAATAGCCATAAGTAAGAAGACAGTGATAAAGCTGGGGACATTAAGCCTCTAAGTTTTGGTGAGTTTTTGTCCTCTCCACTCTTATCTGAGGAGATTAACCCTGCAGTGCCTGAGAAAAGTATAATGACCTCCCCTGAGGCAGTTGCCATGCAAGACAATGCTGAGTCTTCTCACCACTCACCCCCCACCCTCCTCTTCCCACCCCCCCCACCCCCCCACCCCCCCACCCCGACTCCTCTTTGCTTCTAGACCTATAATTAAACTCAAGTCCCAGCAGGCATCTAAAGATGAGGTACAAAGTGTGGCCCATGACAAGGTGTGCTGTACTTCAAAAGAACTACAGTACTTAGGTTTTCTAACTTACACAGACAGAAATCCATGGAACATGTGTGGAAAGGAATATTAAGGGTATGGAATAATGGTGGAAGGAACATGAAATAAGATCAGGTCAAATTTGTTGATATGGGCTCACTAACCAGAGATTCTGTGTTTAATGTTTCAGCTTGGGGACTTAGAAAGGGCTATAATTGTTTGACTGGTTGGTTGGTTGACTGGTTGGCTGAAACATGGATCAAAAGATAGCCCACCATTAGCAAATTTGAAATGCCCCATATCCCTCAGTTTAATGTAGAGGAAGGGGTTGAAAGGCTTAGGAAAATTGGAATGTTGGAGTGGATTTTTCATTTAAGACCTACTAACCCATCCTAGAATGGTCCAGTAAACATATCTTTCATCACAATTAAAAGAAATAAGTTTGTGAACGGAGCCCCAGCATCCTTGAAGAGCTCTGTGATTGCTCTTTTCCATAGGCCAGATTTCACAATGGGAACTGCAGTTACTGAACTGGGAAACCTAAATGCAATGGGAATAATTCGATTCTGGGATGGGAGGGGCCAAGTGGCAGCATTCAACCCCCAAAGGCATGGTAGGCATGATTACCAGAATGAACAGCAGAGTCGAAGCAGCAGTTAAAATAACATGGCTCACACAGACCTATGGCATTGGCTATTTGATCATGGTGTTTATAGAAGTGAAATAGTTAGGATGCCTACTAAGTTCTTACTTGATCTGTATAAGCAGAAAAGTTCTACGTCAACTGAATAAAAGTCAAACTTGAACCATAAAAAGAGTCACAGCCACTCAATTGATTCCCAGACTTAACTGGTTTACAGACCCAGAACCCCTTGAATGAAGGGGAAGCCAGGTACTCTTGAAGAAAGACCTTGATACACTGCCAAAAATTAATAATATTTCTCTCAGCCTACCCCAAAGGGATCCATGGCCTTTTACCAAGGGAACTGTGAATTTGGGAAAAGGAAATAATCAGATCTTTCGGGAATTACCAGACATAGGCTCTGAACTGACATTAATTCCAGGAGATCCAAAAGTCACTGTAGCCCACTAGTCAGGCTAGGGGCTTAGGAGAAATCAGTTTAATTCAGGCCTATCTCACAGTGTGTCCAGTGGGTGCCCAAAGCCATCCTGTGGTGTTTTTCTCCATTTTGGAATGCGTATTTGGAATAGACATACTCAGCAACTGGCAGAATCCCCACATTAGTTCCCTGAACTCTGGAGTAAGGGCTATTATGGTGGAAAAGGCCAAACAGAAGCCACTAGAACTACCCATACCTAGGAAAGTAGTAAGCCAAAAGCAATACCACATCCCTAGAGAGATTTCAGAGATTAGCACCACCATTAAGGACTTGAAAGATGCGGAGGTGATGACTCCTACCACATCCCCATTCATTTTTCCTATTTGTCCTGTACAGAAGACAGATGGATCCTGGAGAATGACAGTGGATAATCATAAACTTGAGCAAGTGATGACTCTAACTGCAGCTGTTGTACTAGATATGGTTTTATTGCTTGAGCAAGGTAACACATTCCCTGGTATTTCTCATGCAGCTATTGATCTGTCAAACAGATTTTTCTCAATGCCTATTAGTGAAGACCCCCAGAAGCAGTTTGCTTTCAACTGGCAAGGATAGCAATACACCTTCACTGTTCTACCTCAAAGGTAAATATCACAGTAGTTCATTACATTATACCATTATGCTGATTGGACCTAGCGAGCAAGAAGTAGCAACTACTCTACCACTTATTGATAAGACATTTGCATATAAGAGGGTAGAAAATAAATCTGACAAAAATTCAGGGGCCTTCTACCTCAGTGAAATTTCTAGGGGTCCAGTGTTGTGGGGCATGTTGTGATGTCCCTTCCAAGGTGCATCTGACCTCACCTACAACCAAGAAAGAGGCATAATGCCTGTTGGGCCTCTTTGGATTTTGGAGGCAATGTATTTCTTATTTGGGTGTGTTATTCTCACTATTTACTGAGTGCCTTTTTGTAAGATATCCCTGAAGGACAGTGGTGAAGGGAAATCTGCCCAGTAAGAAGAATACCTGGTTGTGCACTTTGCTTAGCAAGAAACATGGCCAGATGTACAACTATGTACAATGTGAATGGCTGTAGCTAATGGTTTATCTGGATGCTCAAGAGCTTAAGAGGAACATGATTAGAAAATTGGTAACAAATTTGGGGAGAGGTATATGAATAGATCTCTCTCAATGGGCAAAAATGTGTAAAAATATTTGTGTCTCATATGAATGCTCATCAAAGGGTGACCTCAGCAGAAGAGGATTTTGATAATCAAGTGGATAAGATGACCTGTTCTACAGATACCAGTCAGCCTCTTTCCCCAAACACCCCTGTCATCACCCCGTGGGCTCATGAACAAAGTGACCATGATGGCAGTATGGGGGTATGCACGGGCCCAGCAACAAGGGTTTCTACTTCCCAAGGGCAAGCCAACCGTGGTCACTACTAAGTGCCCAATCTGCCAGCAGAGACCAACACCGATTCCCCGATATGACACCTTTCCCCGAGTAATCAGCCAGCTACCTGGTAGCAGGTTGGTTACACTGGACCTCTTTCTTCATGGAATGAGCAGTGTTTGGTCCTTACTGCAGTTATCACTTACTCTGGATCTGGATTTTCCTCCTCTGCCTGCATTGCTTCCATCAAAACTACCATCTTACAGAATGCCTTATCCACCCTCATGGTATCCCACATAGCACTGCTTCTCATCAAAGAAATCTCTTCACAGCAAATGAAGTTAGTCACCACCGGTGCCTTTCATATGAAGTAGCAGAAAAAGGGAAGGAAAGAAAACAGTTAATATCCAAACATTGTTCTGTTCAATTGGAAGCTGAGACTCCTTGGGGCTCCTAATACCACTAGCAGGCAAGGTGTACTGGGCAAGGCCATTGACCTCAGTTACCAAGGGTAAATCAGGTTGCTGCAGCACATAGTAGGGGCAAGGAAGACTGTGTCTGGGAGCCAGGGATTTCGTGGTACACACTTCAGTAGTCCTATGCCCAAAAATACTGATCAGTGGGAAATTATGGTAACCGAATAAAGATAAGATCACTAAGAATTTGTATCCCATAGGCATAAGGTTCGATTAACCCCACCAAGTAAAAAATTCTGACCAGCCAAAGTTCTGGCAGAGGGCAAGGGAACATGGAATAGGTGGAACACAGAATTAACATAATGATTATCAACATAGGACATATGACCAGCTACAGAAGCAGGGACTACAGCAGCCCCCAATTTAACAGAATTGTGACGTATGTTCCCTGGCAGAAGTCATCCTCTCTTAGACAACAGGATCTCCAAACCCACCCATCCCAAGGTTTTAAGGAGAGGGAATGGCTAATTAATTGTTTATTATTATTATTAGGTATTTATTGTTATGATGATTCTTAGGTATAATAGTGAAAGAGGCAATTTCTACCTCCACCCCTCAAACATGAAAACTGCCTGTATTGCCTGATGGATAAACAGCCTCCTCCTCTATAATGTTCTTTCCTCAATCTTTGCATTGGTTTGTTTCTAGACTCAGCTCAAATATGATCTCTTCAAAGTAGCCTTCCATGACCACCTGTCATCTAAAACAATGCACTGTCTCCATCCCTACAATCATTATCTTGCTGCATATTTTATTTCCTTCCCAGTATTTCACAGGCTCTGAAATTATCTTTTTATTTCCTTGTCTATCCCCTTTCTTCCCCCACTCCACAAAGCCTGTGACTTTGTCTTATTTCTTCAGTACTTAGAACAGTTCCTGGTACATAGAAGAAGCTCACAAAATATTTCTCAATAACATAAGGACTTCTGGCCTCCAAGAATATAAGGCAAGAGAAAACCATGTACCAAAGTTCAAGTATGAGCCCTTCAAGTATGATTCCTGCAGAGGGGACAATTCTTTTGCTACAAGGAGAAACTCAAGAGGATAGGTGTAGAACTGACAACTATTCTAAAATATTCTGTAATTATCTGTATTTTCTATCTTAAAGTGACAATGATGGAATAGGATTCAGAAGGGAAATATTTAAGCATGCTGCTTTGACTTAATTATAGGCACAAAATGAAAATTTGGATTTTTGAGAGAAAGAACACTAGAAGCGGCCCATACTGACTCTAGTGTAGCCCCTCTTTGAAAGAGGCAAAATGAAATTTGGAATGTGTAGTTTCGGGGTGCTGCGTTGGAAGGACTGTAAAGAAATTTGTGAGGGCTGTGAGGACAACTGTGTCTTATTCTCTATATCATGCCATCACTCAGCAAAGCTCACAGCATTAAGGATGAGAGGTGGAAGCATTTGAGGAACTTTATAAAATGTGTTTGCATCCACATCGCAGAAGTAAAGCTGGGCTACACCCAGCAACTAATTTCCACAGTGGAAAATGCACCATCTGAGGTGCATTTCATTTCCTGGGAGGCAAATGACAAACCACAATGTAATTTCTCACACGTTTGACCGAAGAATCCCAATACTGTTGTGTTCATCTGGACCAGAGGCACAGGATGGGCATGTCTGTTCCCCATTACTGCCTCACTGAACTGGATGGAGGAACAACTTGGGAATGGGGACCATGGCCCATGTCATGTCAATTACAGATAGCAAACCTCCCACACAAGTACCCTAGTTTATAAATAATAGGCCCTCTGAGAACCCACATGACATCCTAAGTGCTGGATGGTACATCTGAAAGCACTGAGAGAGCTGAAAATCACAGACAGCCAAGTAAGTCCCTGCTGAATACATATCTAAGGAGCTTTGCATGCATTGTTTATTCCAGCAACTTTATGGAATAAATTACGTACAACAAATTAGTTTCAGATGGTAGGATATGAAGAGCTGATGTGCTGTATAAAGGAAGGTGAACTCCCACTTTTGACCCAACCACTTCCCATCTCGGGCATCTCAGACTCAGAATTCAGATGCAATTCATTTCTGAAATGCAGTGGAGATCAGAAAGTTAATAAGTGATGAGGTTTAGAGATTTCAAAAAGAAATTTATGAGTATTGTTAACTCATTATATTATCCTATGATTTCTGGTTGTTATATGTGAAACCATAGGTAAAATTGAACCCATCCTTCCTTCATTCCTTCATTATGCACAGCAAGCAAAAATAAATGTCTTCCTGACATTTCCAACCTGCACAGAAATTCCATAATAGATTCAACTCAACACACATTTAAAACCTCACTGCCTACCATACTGGGATGTCATCAAATTACTGAAAGAGACATAATGTCTTTCTCTATTCACCCTGAAGTCATAAATTATTTTTTAAATTAACACAGTAAAATTGACTTATTTTGGTGTATAGTTTTGTGAATCTTACTACATGTATAGATTCATGGAACCAACACTGCAGTCAGGGTAATAATTCTAGCACCCCCAAAATTGCCTAACATTATTACTACTTTACAGTCCCTCTCCTACTTTAAGCACTAGCAAACCACTGGTCTGTCCTCTGTCACTATAGTTTTGTCTTGTCAAGAATGTCACATAACTTTTGTCATGTAACTTTTCACTCAGCAAAATGCCTTTGAGATTCATCTAAGTTGCTCCATGTCTCAATAATCTGTTCCTTTTTATTGCTAGGTGATACTCTGTTATATGGATATACCACAGTTTGTTTATCCATTCACCCTTTGGAGGACACGTAGTTATTTTCAGTTTTTAACAATTACAAATAGAGCTGCTGTAAACATTTATGTATGAGTTATGTTGTGAACATAACTTTTCATTCTCTTGGGTAAATACCTAGAAGTGGGATTGCTGGGTCACATGCTACACGTATGTCTATAAGAAATTGCCAGACTTTTTACAGAGTGGCTATACATAATGTCTTTTTGATAAGTAAAAATATAAAAACTATTAAATGACCCCCGACAGCTTGTTTACTTGTGTTGAGGGGATTCCGATAGTTATTCACCATGATAAAATATTGTTCTTAAAATAATCAGAGGCATTTGACTTCATTTCTTTCTTTTTACTTTTAAAGCTTCAATTAAGTCTTTCATATTTTAATGTGATTTTTAAAACAAAATTAGGTGCTTAACATCGTAGAAGCATAAGGCCTTGAGGAAGCTACTTATACATGAAGAGATTTTAGTCAGAGAGAACTAGGAGAAAATTTCATCATAGCAATATAACCCAGTGTCACATGTATCAAGTCCAATTTTCAATTCATAAATAAGCCTCCCCCTCCCTTCCTCCAAAAACGTCCACCCCAAGCTAATTACAGAAGAAAAAGGAACATGAACACCAGCCAGAAAAGATTCACAGTTGCCACTCTTTAGTTGCTACTTTAATGGGAAACACATGTGCAAGATACCACCCAGGAGACAACTGACCAATGTGCTCTGAAAAATGGAATGTCACAAAAATGAGCCACACAAGATGGCTTACTCTATTGAATAGGCTGAACACATAAAAATGTTTGATACCATTTTGTTCTTATATAAATATGGGGAGGTCCTGAGATGAGATGCTGAGACAGAAATTAATTTGTAGCAACAAAGTTGAAAGGCAATGATTTAAATTAGCCCTCGCTTCTTATCTCATCCACATGCCCCACAATAGTTGACCATCATATTTGGAAAGTACTTAGCAAAGTTTACATGAGGAGAAATCCTGCAAAGAAATTGGAAGAAACGACAGAGTGGCGATTGTTCTTATTAAATAACAACACTAACACTCATTAGCTACCATCACTACAAGTAGCCAGTTCTGTTCTGAGTGCTGTATGCACAGCATCTCATTATATCCATAATTTACAGGGTAGAATTATCTCCACTGTATTAGTCAGCTAGAATTGCCATAAAAAAATACCATAGACTGAGTGGCTTAAACAACAGAAATTTATTTCTCATGGTTTTGGAAGCCAGAAAGTATGAGATCAAGGTGCCAGCTGATTTGGTTCCTGGTAAGGGTTCTCTTCCCGGCTTGCAAACGACCACCTCCTCGCTGTGTCCTCACATGGTGGAGGGGTGGGGGTGGTACGGAGAGAGATAGGGCGAAAGGGAGAGTGACAGAGCTCTCAGGTGTTTCTTCTGATAAGGGCACTAATCCCATCATGAGGTCCCCATCCTCATGACTTCATTTAACCCCAATTATCTCCTAAAGGCCTCATTTCAAAATACCAATACAGTAGGCTTTAGGGCTTCCACTCATGAATTGTCAGGGAGAGTCAGGGAGGAACAGTTAAGTTAATAGCATCCACTTTACAAATAAATGATGTTTCAAGAGAACAAGGAGTTCACAACAGCTCACTCTGTTGGCAATCAGCAGAGTTTGAACTTGAACCCAAGAGTATCAGACTCTAAGAGAAAAATATCTACTATTTATTGACTGCCCACTAAGTGTCAGGTGTATCTATACAACATCTCTATTCTCTATGGGAAATCAAGTTTTTCCCATTATTCTTCCGAGTTGTAGATATGGAAACTCTAGCCCCAAATACTTAACCAGCTATTCACAACCTACCATCTAAGCGTAACATACTGCATAAAATTTATCCTAGTGCTTATCAAAGTGAGGCCCCCATCATTACCTGGGAGCTAATTAGAAATGCACATTTTGGGACCAAACAGCAGACCTACCTAATCAGGAACTCTATGGTGGTGTCCACAATCTGTGTGTTAACATACCTTCTAGGTAAATCTGATCCATGATAAATTTTGAGAACCACTCGTTTGTTCTATAAATTTATTAAAATAACTAGTACTTTCAAAACTCGATAATAAGTGGTATATCCAGAATTCATATACAGGTCTGTTTGGTTCTAAAGCCTGTGGCTTTCTGCTATACTATACTTCTTCCATCCCAGCTTTACAAAGGGAAGATCTGTGATTGCAGAGCCCAGTTCTGAATTCTGCTTTGCTGCTGTAATTCCGATCAGTTCTCCTACCTATAAAAATGTGATACAGGGAAATGTCCAAGGATAATCCCTGAGAATTCATAACGCTGCTTAATACTAACCAAGAAACACCTTTGGTTCAAACTAGAAACCAAGCTTTGTGAAACTTTTATTTGGGCCGGACAATTTTGTGTTCCATTTAGTGTAAATGAGAAACAATCCAGTATACGGAAACAGTAAGTATGGAACAAAGTTACCTCTTTTAAAAAGAAAAAAAATAATTTTATCCCTCTTTGACTGTTTTTAATCATGTTTAATCCATCTAATTGATCATTGCTTTATCTACATGTTTTCGCTGTATAATTACACCATTTTCTCCCTCCAAGGAACAAGACCATATTATATCCCTTTATACAATCTTGATAATTTACACAAAGGAATAAAAATCTGCTTATAATAAAATGGAGATTTCTATTTCTAATTTTTGGAGTGGTAAATGAAGGTATCTGATCTCACACCAAGTGCCTTTTAAAATCATTCGCAAAATAAAAGCACTTTGAAAAGGGTTATTTCCAGTGCAAATATAGTCACCTGCTCTTGTGATCAATAAACCTCTAAAACATTATACTAATATTTACAGTATTAATGAACATGTGCACAAAGCCTTTTTACACGTGGTAAAACTCATTTAATCATCACACACATGTGAGGTAGCTTTTGGGATTATTCCCATTTCACAGATGAGGAAAATGAGAATCAGGGAGGGTAAGTAACTTGCCAGAGCTCCTTCAGCCAGGAAGTACAGGACTCTAGATATTAAGCTTATTAAAGAGCTCTTGCTGAACATTGATTCAGACACTGACACTTGGCTCTGGATGGATGGGCTCAGTGTTGCTCTGCATCTGGATTACTTCCAAAGGTCCATCTGTGAGCCTGCCTGACCCCCGGGATGGGGCGGCGCAGCCTTTGCAGCCTTGGCACTCCATCTGGAGAGACTGAAAGGGAACAGCAAGGTGGTGACTCAGTGGCCTTGACTGTCCCTCAGTCTCCTGGGAGACAGAGAGCAAAGTGATAAAGTGACAGAGTGGGAACTGTAGTTCTCGTTTCTCTATTTGTTTTCCACTTGATTCTTAAAAACAGACCTATTAATCATTTAGTTCATGACTGGTAATTCCACTGACTCCCAACACATTTGAGTCAATGAAGCAAAAACTAGAAAGTTGTGTGTTCAAACTTCTCAGATGGGAGAAGAATTAAAATCCTTTGAAAACATTTCACCGGCCAGCAGAAAGACTCACATGTTTTTCTGCTTCAGAGTTGTAGATGGATGTGACTTAAGCCCTAACTGGGAAAAACTTTGTGTGATTTATAACAGCAGATAGATATTCTGAGTAAGCTTCTCATACTCTTTTATTCCACCTACCAAAAACAAAAGCTGTTTTCAGCAGAGCCCAATGAGGTGAAAAGGGCTTTCCAAGGAAACTGTTGCGTGTGCTTCTTGATTCTGTCCTGATTTGGGAAGTTCATCTAAGCTGAAATTACTTTGTGGAGCTGACAGGAAGTTTGTCCAATGACTTTTGCCTTTCACAGCCCTGCTCTCCTTATCTCTACAGACACGCTTCCCACTTTCTTTCTTTTCTGGCTCCCTTCCTCCTTCCCTTCACACACACCTTCACACCTCCCATCTACTCTGATTGTATTAATTGATACCATAAAGAACACTGTTATAAAGGGAGGCACAAGTGTTGTAATATTTGAGGGGCTTTTAGTGCAGGAATTAAAGGCTAATACTTGGCCTGGCCAGACCTATCATTGCATGCTATGTCCAGACTCTCCAAAACTGTGAGAGCCTACTTTGAGTCCCTCTTTCATATCTTTGTAGCATTTGAGTTCACTGAATATGTTGGGAGCTTCAGATAGAAAAGGACCCTATCCCTCCCCTCAGGGAGCTGATGCTTGCCCAGCAGGGACAGTAGGTTAATGAGGAGCAAAGCTCTCCCTAGTTAATCTGGCTCCAAGTGTAGTGTGATGGGTCCCCTACCAGGTTACTTAAGGGTATATGTCCACTGCCTGAACCTTAAAGGCCAGGTGGTGAGCTAAGGCTGTCGTGCCCAGCCGAGGAGCAGGTGTCTCTGAGAACACAAACATACCAAGGAAAACAGTCCCATCACACAGGCACAGTAGGCAAAGAGCCAAATAATTAGCTTAAATGAGAGATGGGAAGTGGGATGAATCTCTAGAGCTGTCCTGCTGCTGCCCAGGAGTGCTCTGTAAGTAAGTCTTAATAAACCCATCTACTCACCAAGCTGGACTTGTCCAAAACATTTTGGTCTCCTGATACCTTCCCAGTTTGGGGGGTGGGTGGTGGGGAGGAAACATTACAGTCCTAAGTTTTTCTCATAACACCAAGTGGATTCATTTAGAAGGCAATTTCCTAGCAAACATCAAATTCACAGCTCTCCCTGGATCAAGAGTGGTAAGCTTTCTAGTAAAATGATCTGTTTGGAATCAGATCTACTTAAGTCTAAATCCCTTTTCTGCCTTGGACAAGTCACTGAATCTCATTGAGCCTCAGTTCTCTCTACTATAAAATGCAAATGACATCTAACTCAAGACTCTACATGAGGATTAAATGAGGAAATGTTATACAAAGCACATGGCATAATTCCTGGCAAACAGGAGATACTCAATAAAGGGTAGTTTCCCTTCTTCTTCCTTCTCTCTTCCCAGACCTCACAAGAAGAGGAGTGTGGCCTCTTAGTGAGATGATATAAAAGAGACTCTAACAATATTAAACACTTCAGTAGCACCTACTACATCCCAGGCACTATTCTAAGCACATCTGTATTTCAGCTCATATAAGTCTTCCCTAAAACCCAATAAGATAAGAGCTATTATCATCTCTACTTCATAAATGAGATAGCAGGTAACTTTCTGAAGTCACACAGTTAGAATGTATGTGATGCGGCTATGATTTGATCCCAGTTTATCTAGCTCTTAACTATCACATTATTAGGAAACAGATAGTGAGAGAGGTGCTAACTGTATCTGGAACTCAAGTACACAAAACAAGCAGTCCTCAGACAATGAGCTCTGTTTGATTTGCACAGTGTTTTAAAAATCAAGTCTATATTTCTGACTGCTCTCAAAAAAGTTGGAAGATCTGGCACTAGGCAGCTCACATACTGATGTGGCAACAAGCCTTTGACTGGTGGCTGCTGTCTGGACTGAGGTCCCCAGTTCACCAGTCTCCAGTACTCACAGTCGTATTACAGGGCCGGCTTCACTTTTGACCTGCACATACATTTGAGCTTGTCGTCCAGAATTAGGTAATGATGCTAAACCGTAAAGACACAAGAATCGTGTTCAATAACGTGCACCCAATGGTTAAAATGTTTGAATTAAATGAAGGAAAAAAATGAACGTAGGAAAGAGGTCTGCGTGAAAAGCAATCAACAACCAGGTTCAAACACAACCACGCAGAAAATGCCTGGATAAGCCTTTGAGCCCTATGTGCAGAAATTGTAAACTCCTGCTCTTTTCCATATCTCCACACCTAAATAAAAACCTGAAAATGCAAGTTTCCTTACAGTCCATGGAGCAAAGACTCTTTTGCCTTCAATGTTAAATGTGTTCCTCTTTGGCATAGCTAAAAGAGGGAGTTTAAATTTTCATGTACTACTTAACCCAAACAATATTTTTTTCTCTCTCTTTTTTTTTTTTAGCTCTTTAGGCCTTAATGATTGACATGATCTTGGAAAACAGGTATGTAGCAAAACTCTCCTAGAAACCTGAAAGATGTGGCAAGAAGAAAACATGGAGCCTTTTCTGAACAAGCCTATGAGAGAAGAAGAATCACTTCAATTTATTAAGTGTGGATTCTGGGGCTAAAGAACTTACCTACAACCACACAGCCAGCAAATTACTGACCCAGCATATTCTGAACCCAGGTCTTTATTCTTTCCAAAACTTCACAGCACCTTCCTCAGAGCATCTCTACATGAAAATCTGTATAAAGAAGTGATCTGTGGTGTCGCCATTTGTATCAAAATGGTATCACAAACTTATTTAAAAGGCTTCATCTAAAAGTCTTCAGAGTTTTGGCCAGGGAAGAGCTCTAATATCACACATTAATAACCTTACCTTTGTAACATGTAAATTGTTTTTTGTTTTAACATCTCAGTTTCATTAAACTGAGACCAGAAAGAGCCATCATCTTTTTACCAATTTGTAATCATTTTATTGTGTTATGGACCTGCAGCAATGCTGACTATATTTACAAATCTGTGAGTGAAATTTTAAAACCATTTTCCTCTTCTAATCTCTCCCATCCTGCCTTCTTAGAAGCACACAAAGCATCTCAACCACTCCCAAATTCCCTGTTGGAATACCCTTAATGATTCTGAAATATTTTGTTATTCCCCAAACACCTCCCTAAGACGAATCACTGGACTCCAGGCTCTTCACATTGCCAAGTTGAATCGAGTTCAAATGTTCTATCTAACCAAACTCTAACTTACAACAAAGCCACATATAGTAGATGATGTGTAAGATATTCCGAAAATACCAAGGCAACAGGGAAAAAAAATCTGTGTCATCAAGAGGTCCTCCCAGAACTTCTTGTAATCTAGAATAATCAATTTTGTCAAGCTCCTGTAACCTAATCATAGCACACATGTGTATATATGTATAACTAATAACATAAATCAACTTTCATTTTAATAATGTATAGCTTAAGTTTTCTCACATCCAAAACAATTAGTGTTGCCAAATTTAAGATTATTTCTCTACTTTAGACATCAGAACATGCACAAGGACTTGAGGAATAAACAAATCCAAGAAAACAATCTTAGCCTGATAAAGTAAAAATTTTGAATAAATTCATAAATCATTTAAAACACAATCTTGTTAAATTAGCTATTTCATAGTATGTTATGAATGTAAAAGCAGAACACAGAAAAGGCATTTTCCAAAAAGATATAGGACTTAGTAGGATTTCCTTTTATGTTAAAAAATGGCCCATGGAAGAGCAGTTTTCAGAATGACCAGGGCATAGTCAGACACCTCTTTCATTGGAAGCTTCACCAAAGGGCACACTTCTCCTGAACTCAGAGTTTTGAGTCCAGACCCAGCTCTTGCCAAAGTTCACTGGGAGTTTTGCTAAGCTTCAAGATGATCCCACCTGAAAGCTCTTTGGAGACAAAGTTAAGGTAAGTTCCCCTTAATATTTCCAGAACCATATGAACATATAAGCAAACTGTGTAAGGCTACGTAGAAATGATTGAATTTTAATTTTTTCAAACTACAAACACTTTAAAGACAAGGATTCTCCTCTATACTTATTTTGTAGTACTAGCACCAAGAATAATGCATAGTACATAGTTGATACTTAATAAATTCAATACTTGTATGAATAAACTGAAAAATTCTCACAAGACCATTGGGGGCAGTTCTACTAATCTCCCTGTAGCCCTGCAATTTTCAAAGGCTTCATCACGCAATTCCCCTCACAACTTTTTGGTTCACTAATCATAAAGCCACACGGACAGAAAGGAAAGAAATCCCAGAGACCAAAAAGCCGTTTGTTTTGTCCATCTGGTCACATATTTATAGCGTTTCAGAGCTAAAAGTGGTATTAGAAGTTGCCTTTGAACAGTCCCATTTTACATGTGAGAAAACTAAAGTCTAAGCTCTTGGGTGAAGTGACTGAGCCTTGATCACCCAGCTGACAAGCACCAAAGCACTTCCCGATATTATTTCCTCCATATTCCTCTGCAGTTAGCCCCCACCAACTCCACCAGAAAGTATTTGTAGACTTAGGTATTTCCTTTAAAAGCCTCAGATGACTTTACTTGGGGTGTGGTGGAAGGGACCACAATTTTATTATAATTTACCAATAGCCAGGAGTTTTGTTCCACTAAAACATATGTATTGACTGATCTGCTGAATCTTGCTTTGGGGGGAAGGTGTTTTTTTTTGAGCCCATCTGAAAATGTTAAATGTTTCATTACTCTTAGATTATTAAATGAATAACTCCAGGGAAAAAATGTATCATTGTTTCTTATGAGTATTAAGACAAAGAGGCAAAACTTTCCATTTGACCACAAGAGGGCAGCTACAACATTTCCTGCTAGGTCTTTGGGGTTCTGAACTACGATCAACTGGGCATTTGGGGACTCAGCTTGCCATAGACTCCCTAATAATACCTTTCAACTGAATTCCCAATATGTCACAAAACATTCTCTCATGGTGTTTCCTGGGACGGTTTTTGTTTTGTTTTTAAAGAAATTATTTTCCAACTTCTTTCCAGATCTACAGAGTCCTCTGCTTTAGAACTCTGTGCCAAAGTTACCATCTACAAAGATCTTTGGAGACCAATAAATTGTTAGGCTAATTAGAAAACCCACAGAAAATGTTTTATTTTAATTAAGTTTGACCCCAGATAAAAATAAAAACAGTAATGATTATCTGATTCCACCACACTTAATAAAGCTTGCTCTAAGTGCTTCACGGGATTTGCCAAATATTTGCCTCATCTCAGCCTTCATTCGTCATTCCCATTTTCATGATATCCTAAAATCTTTCAAGTCAAAATTTATTGTGGAATTTTATCACTGAGCTAAACGGTGGGAGGTCTGCAAATAAAAAAGCAGAGATTAGTAATAGCTACATTCCATATTCTTATAGTTGCACAAAAACATAAATTCAAACTTAGTTCATCTGTTAGGTGCATAAAGAGTGGGGAGTTAATTTGAAAAGTAAGTGCTAGATTTTATATGTATATATGTGCATGCATCTGTGTGTAGGTGTGGCTGTGTGTATATACCCATTAATTTTTTTTGTTTTTTCACTAGTAATTATATATAAGTAGTTTGGAAATTTACTATTGATGTTTGTAGATTTTGAAGATGTACATAGCGATGTATTTCCTTCACATTTACCGTGAAGCCTTTCCCTTAACCATCTTATTTAAAATTGCAACCCCTGTCCCCCCAATCCCCACATATCCTGTCCTCATTCCCTGTTGTATTTTTTCTCTTATCAACATTTGACATACTTTATATTTTACTTGGTTTTTGTTAGTCTCCTTCACAAATAACCCCTCCCCAACTAGAATAAAAGCCCTATGACGAAGACAGAATTTTTTCTATTTTGTTTATTGCCATGTCTTCAAATCTTACAATAGTGCCTGACACATCAGAGGAGCTCAATAATGCAGCAACATGGTAAATTCACAAAAATTGAAGCATTTTTACTAGAAACTGATATTTTAAAATCTCTAGCATTGCTAATTTACTTCAGTACATTTAAGGAGACCTCCTAAAAAGAGATAATAGCCCACTATCAGAACTGAAGCATATTTCCTAAAGCAAGTATCTGAAACAATACGTGGGCTCATGATTATGGCTGAGTGTATACTCTTGAATGCTTAGACTCAGCAGGTCCTGTTTCCCAGAAGTCAATCAGACCTGGACTGAATTCTCAGCAAAAGTGGCCTCCAAAAGTTGTCACAGCATCACACAAGCAAAGCAGTGGGATAAAGGAAAGAGTAGTGACCTATCAATAAGGAGCCCATGGTTCTAGTTCTGCCTCTGCCACTAGCTAACTAGGAGTTAAACCATCCATCTAAATTGTTAGTGCTTTGATGTCCTCTAAAAAATAATGGATATAACACCCTGTTTATATCAAAGAACTTTGGAATCCAGTGAAATGTGAAAGTATTTTGGTAAGTATGGACTATTTTTCAAGTAGAAGATGTTATTAAAATCAATGTTGCCTGTACTGTGCTATGTAATGCCACCATTTGGTGTGGCCAGTCAACAATTTAATGGTTTAATGAACAATTCTAGGCTGGATCCAGTTCTATCAGTCAAGTGATGGTTTGTCAGGCCCTTCTTGGTACTCTAACCCCTAGGCCTTCTTCTTGCCGCTGTTGGGTTTATTTGACCCCAGAAGCTCTGCCCCATCCTGCCTCTAGGATGAATCCTAAGTGGAAACAAAAGACACTAAGGGAGCTCTATCGCCGTAACGAGGAATTCACATCATGTCACCGTACTTAGTTAGTCCAGCCCTGATCATATGCCTCAATGCTGGTAACTGGGCATCTTCTTTCTTCTCCTTCTGATAATCAGATCAAGAATTCGCCTCCTCTTGAAAGCATTTTCACAGTAGGTATAAATATTTGCTAAATTAATGACAAAAAGACTTTACACCAGTGTCCCTCTTGGTTTAGAGCTCTGCCAGGTCCTTGTCAGTACGTCCTTTAATCCCCTACCTCTTCACTCCTGGCAGCCTTCCCTGATGCTGGCTGACCATCAGTAGCCTACACCTGAGAGCATCAGAAGTACAAGATATCTTCCTCGATTCCTACTGCCACATTCATCCACCTTTAGGACTTCTCACTTATTCCATTAGACTCTGTAAAGCCAGCTGCTTTTCTGATCCATGCTTGCTTGTCATACCCAGTGGATACCACCTTCTATTTGCCAACTGTTCTCTCTCAGGGTCTAAAACAGGTCTATATCCTCAGGGCCTGCCTCACTTGGTTCCTGTTCCAGCTCGTGGCTTAGCCATACCACAGGACCCTCACTGGGTTAACTGGAAAGATGCTGTTTAGTCTTGGCTACCATGGCAGAACCCTGACAGCACACAAAGCAGTGCAAGTAATATTCAACTTCAAAAAATGTTATCTTTCAAAAATATGCTTGCAAATAGATTCTCTAGCACTTGGGAATGCATGTCTCTACACCAACAACTCATACACTTCAGTAGTCATTCCTTCAAACACATTCACTGAGTATCTTCTTACTTTGCACAGTTCTTGGCACAGGAGAAGAGAAAGTGAGACACAACCTTGTTCCTCCAGAAGTTCACAGAAGAACAAAGGAGACAGTGATAGAAATGATACATATGCAAGGCAGCATTTGGAAAAATAGAGGACTATCCGCAGTACGGTGAGAACAAGAAAGAAGAGGTGAGCCCTCTGCCTGGGCGGATCAGGAAGGTTCCACAAAGAGACATTCCACTGAGGCCTAAAGAATGAGGAAGCATGCACCAGGCAGATGAGTGGAGAAGGGTGTTCCTGGTATGTGGTTGTCAGGTTGCCAGACCAACACCCAAGTGTCAATTTAACCCCAACTGTAGCTCCGCCAGTGCTGCAGGCTTATGTCAGAAACAGAAATGGGATAGGTTTTTGTAGGCCAGCCTGGGAATACTTGTTTCTGTTGGGAGATTAGCTCTAAAACCCTCAATAAAAGAGAGTTGGCCCTGGGCTTATGCCAACACATATGTACCCACTGCCACTACCACCACTCATCACCTTGGGCAAACAAGAAAAGCAGTTCAGTGTCAGGAGGAACAATTCTTGCACTTTCACTTTCTTTCACTAACTGATCTTGTGAATGCAAGGTCATGAGTAAGGCCTTTTGGGGACTGCACATACAAGACAGGTCCACACTCCAAGGAGCTTAACAACAGGCTATGCTAGGCCAGGTGCAGTGGCTCACACTTGTAATCCCAGCACTTTGGGAGGCCGAGGCGGGTGGATCACGAGGTCAGGAGTTTGAGAGCAGCTCGGCCAACATAGTGAAACCCCATCTCTACTAAAAATCCAAAAATTAGCCAGATGTGGTGGCACACACCTGTAGGCCCAGCTACTCAGGAGGCTGAGGTGGGAGAACCACTTGAACCCAGGAGGCAGAGGTTGCAGAGAGCTGAGATCATGCCATTGCACTCCAGCTTGGGTGTCAGAGTGAGACTCTTTTTAAAACAAACAAACAAACAAACAAAACAGGCAACAGGCTATGCAGGCAAGACCCGTGCATATAAAATAACTGAGAGTCCAAGGCAGTAGCTGCCAAAATAATGACACATTCTATAAGCACTACTGTCCTAGCCATCACTGCTTTCTGGAGAGAATAATTCAATTTAGTTGAAAAAGTGTTTTACATTAAATGCCCACTAAAAGTCTGTTGATTATGTAAGACTGCATTCTGAATTTCACAAGGCAGGATCCACCAAGTTCCATAAATGTAAATAAGTTTTCCTCCCAAAAGTAACAGGTTAAGTCAACTCTGGAAAGACTATGGGGAGTTTAATTAATAGGAATTCTGGTTTACTCAATACAAGAAACACATCAAACTGAATAGGTATGAAAAAGCATTTCCCACCAGTTGAAGCTGTCTGAATTAAAATGAACCGCCTTGGGAGGTAATAAGTTTCCCGTCAAGCTAGATAATTACTTGGCAGTGATTTGGTAGGGGTGATGCAAGCATTCAATGACCAGTAGGCTCCCTTCCAGTCCTGTGATTGTGTGAATTTCTGCAGCTCCCCCTTGATAACACAATAAAACCTGGGAACCCACACTGCAAGGTTTTCAATGTTGAAGATTAGCCATGGGTTAGGCTTATTCAGGGTACCAGAGCCTATTCTGAATGGTGGTGAGGAAACAGAGAATGGGAAGGTCGAACTTCTACCAAGAACCTGACCAAACTCCCAGGGTGCTAGTCAGTATCTGGGGAGAGCTTCAGAATGCCAAAACTCATTAGTGCTCAAAAAAGGTCATAGTTATTAGACAAGGGCACTCCATTATGAAGTCCTAACTAAAGAACTAAAAAAAAAAGCCCCTTGAAGACAAGATGTGTAGGATTCTAGAGTATTTTGAAAGGCTCTTCCAATGCTGACCCCTGAGGGTCCCTCATGAATGTTAGCACATCCAGATTCTTGGGAAACTCCAAGCAAAGCTGTTGTCAAAGATGTGCCCAAGAAGAGTGCCTCCAAAAGTAAACAAGCAGGAGATAGACAAGACAGTTATACAGGTCTCCTGAGTAAAGTATACAGGACTGAGATGGTGAATGCAGAAGAGGAGTAACAGCCTGAGGGGACCCGGACAACCAAGAAACTGGTTGTTTAAAATCCTGGCATCTTGTAAATTTGTTTGAGTTCATTGTTGATTCTGGATATTAGCCCTTTGTCAGATGAGTAGATGGCAAAAATTTTCTCCCATTCTGTAGGTTGCCTGTTCACTCTGATGGTAGTTTCTTTTGCTGTGCAGAAGCTCTTTAGTTTAATTAGATCCTATTTGTCAATTTTGGCTTTTGTTGCCATTGCTTTTGGTGTTTTAGACATGAAGTCCTTACCCATGCCTATGTCCTGAAAGGTATTGCCTAGAAAAAAACAAACAATCCCATCAAAAAGTGGGTGAAGGATATGAACAGACATTTCTCAAAAGAAGACATTTATGCAACCAAAAGACACATGAAAAAATGCTCATCATCACTGGCCATCAGAGAAATGCAAATCAAAACCACAATGAGATACCATCTCACACCAGTTAGAATGGTGATCATTAAAAAATCAGGAAACCACAGGTGCTGGAGAGGATGTGGAGAAATAGGAACACTTTTACACTGTTGGTGGGACTGTAAACTAGTTCAACCATTGTGGAAGTCAGTGTGGCGATTCCTCAGGGATCTAGAACTAGAAATACCATTTGACCCAGCCATCCCATTACTGGGTATATACCCAAAGGATTATAAAACATGCTGCTATAAAGACACATGCACACGTATGTTTATTGCAGCACTATTCACAATAGCAAAGACTTGGAACCAACCCAAATGTCCAAAAATGATAGACTGGATTAAGAAAATGTGACACATATACACCATGGAATACTATGCAGCCATAAAAAATGATGAGTTCACGTCCTTTGTAGGGACATGGATGAAGCTGGAAACCATCATTCTCAGCAAACTATCGCAAGGACAAAAAATGGTCTCACTCATAGGTGGGAACTGAACCATGAGAACACACGGACACAGGAAGGGGAACATCACACACCAGGGCCTGTTGTGGAATGGGGGGAGGGGGGAGGGATAGCATTAGGAGACATACCTAATGTTAAATGACGAGTTAATGGGTGCAGCACACCAACATGGCACATGTATACATATGTAACGAACCTGCACATTGTGCACAAGTACCCTAAAACTTAAAGTATACTGAAAAAAAAAAAAATCCCAGCATCACGCAGTACCTCAAAGCAAATTGCAAACAATGTCATTCGCTGAGCTCCGGGTATCCTGTCTCTGAAACGATGCCACTGTGTAAGAAAAACAGCCCATGTTTGGATCCCTATTAAACCAATTCTGGGCTCTGTAACTGATACAGGTTTTAAACTCCCATGGGCTTCAAAAATCAGGGGACTGAATTAAAATTTTTTCACAAAGTCCCTATAAGTCCCTTATAGATCCAACTCTAGGATCTATAATCCCCATACACAAAAGAGAACATGTTATAGGAGAAGAAAACAGTTACCAGCAGGTCATTCCAAAACATGCTGGAAGAAACTAAATAAAGCAAAAAATCTTGATTTTTGATTTTGTTTCTATGACTTCTCATTTTTTTCCATTTTGTGACTAAACTGTGGTTTAAGTAGTTAAGCCAAATGAATAGAAGCGAAACCAATATACTACACACCAGCAGCATTCTTATTTTTGTGGAGAAAGAAAACAAATATGTGCTATTTGATCGTGTAAGAAAGATAAATCTACCAAGCTTCCACAGACAAAGCCCATTAAATCAATAGGGGTCTGCCCAGTGCCCAGGGAAACCCATCAAGAGCAGCCAAATTATTTCGTTTTTTTTTTTAAAAAAGCTATCAACTTAACATTACAAATCATTTGCTGTTCTCAAGAGAATTGCCTAGTATTGCAAAACTTGATAATTACTGATTCATGACTGATTTAGGAAAAACATCGGCTTAAGTAATCAGGCCAGAGTACTGCTGCTGACCGCAAGGCTGGCAGGAAACCTAGCTTTTCTTTCATGAATGTTTAACATTTTACAAAATTTAGCTTTTAGCATATCACCACTGGTTTGATTTTTCAAAAACCTGGGAATACAGAACATACCAGTTATGTATTATCAAGCACCTATCTTTTCTCTAACTTTTCTTCAAGTATCACTAACCAGAAACGCAGTGAATTATGAGAAAGTGATTCAGAAATCAGACTTGACATGGACTGTTTGCTATAAAATGGTAGATCTTAGACTCTTTGAAAGAACTCTACAGACACTATAAACTGACAGTACATTCTGTATAAAATAGCAGGAAGAATTTAATTAATGTTCTGAGCCAATCCTACACACCACAGGCTACACATGCCTACATTAGGGCAATACACAAATCTCTCATGTAAGCTTTGCTAAAGAGTCACTTCATGTGGCCAGCAGATAACAAGCATATCAGAAAATGTTCATCTGTACATGCCCTTGGGAAGATATTTTCCATAAGGATACGTGAATATCGTATCTCCATAAAGAAAACTATTCTCTCTCTGTTGGAATTGTTTTTCTGCTTAAAATTAAGCAATTAAGAATGTTTTCTTATTCTGCAGAGGAATCACAGAGAAATGCTATCCCACAGATTCAGAAACTGCCTCTAAACCATAATAAATTTTCTTTTCAGATCTTTTCTTTTTTCTTTAAGATTCTGCTTTCAAGTAAACATGCTTTTGTTAGTAAAAGCCAGATTCTTGTCAACTTAGTTTCTAACAGAAACTCTCTTTCTCTCTCTCTCTCTCTCTATATATAATAATTTTATGTATTTTGTAATATATAGAGAGATATATATTATAAAAATATACAAATTGTAGGTCTCGTCACTAAGAACACCTACATCATCAATGTTCTTGCAGGAAGAAAGGCAAGTATTTAAAGAACAGAAAATTAAAGTAAGCATTTAAGGGCGGTGGTAAAACAAGTACTTACAAACTGCTGATGTGCAATTTGGTATAGAACCCCATATAAGCAAATTGACAATATATATTAAGATGTAAAATGGTTATACCCCAGATCCAAAAATTCCACTTTGAGGGAGATATTATTTTAAATACAATTACAATAGGAAAAATTTTGTGCACAAAGATATTTACTGCAGCATTATTTTTAATAGAAAAACAGAAACAGCATATATGTTGAACAGCAGGAAAATGATTAAGGAAAAAATTATATAATCTCTCAATAGATTACTATGTAGCCATGAGAAATACCTATGAACATTGGTAATAACATAAAAATGCTTATAATATTAAAAAACAGAAAATAAGCCAATATTATAGATACACATACATATATAAAAATGCTTGCTTATAAAAATGAAAGAAAACCCTTCATGTAAAAAAAAAAGATGAAAGGAAATATTGGATGCTTTTTTCTCTTCTTTCTTTTTCTGTATTTTCTAAATTTTCTTCAATAAGCTCCTTAAGGAAACATTTTGAATAAAACAAGAGGAATTCTAAACAGACATGGATTAGAACTGATGCTTAATATTCCTAACCAAAATTATATTAGGTCTGAGAGAGGGCAAATGTGAAGAAATTTTTGTGGCATTACTGTTTACTGAATTAATTCATAATTAATTCATTCAATGAATAGTTATATAAATTGTCTGAGGGAGAGAGGGAGGGAATCATAGAAGTCATTGCTAACCCAAGAAAATCATCTAGTCCACATTACGCAGCAGCAGGAAGAATGAACCCTAGGGGGACTGAAATGTAATTTAAGAATTGAAATAATATAGCAGCAGAGAAGTCATATGAAGAGAAACTTCGGACAAGGCAGAGAAGATCGGAAATATTAGTACTGCAGAGATGCACTGAGGTCAAGGAAAACAAGGAGAAACAAAAAGGCACAGGAGTTAACAAGTTAAAGACTACTTGGGAAACTAAAGCTAGAAATCAAGTCCTGGAGGGTGAGTGGTGAGGAATTGGAGGCAGTGGGTGCAGATTAGACCCAGGGTCATTTGCTTTGTCCTTTGCAGAATAGGGGAGACAGGCATGAGTTTGGAAGCAAGAGGAGGGAAGAGACAGAAGATTGGAGATGTGGAAACAGCCCAGAACCATCCTGTCCCCTGCATGCCCCCGACCATCAGAGGCTGCCCATGTACCATATATGGCTGTTCCTGACACGGAAGTGCACCTCAGCTGGCTCTAAACATCTTTGAGACTTTATCTCTAAACCATGCCTCACCACAAGTCGTCTCTCCTAATCAAGCCATTCTTGTGCTACTCCCCTCATGCACTCACATGGCCTTCTCTACCTCTGGGAATGTTCCTTCTCTGCCCCTTTCTCACGTTCTCATTTCCTGCTACCCTTCACTGTCAGGTTCCAGGGCTCATCCATGGTCCTTGTATTAATCTTCTAGGGCTGCCATAACAAAATACCACAGCCCGGGTGGCTTAAAACAACAGACATATTGACATATTCTCTCACAATTCTGGAGGCTAAAAGTCTAAAATCAAGGGTTGGCAGAACCATGCTGTCTCGGAAGGCCATAAGGAGGGTCCTTCCTTGTCTTCTCTTACCTTTTTGGAGGTCCTGGAAATCCTTTGTGTTCCTTAGTTTATACATGCGTTACTCAAATCTCTGCTTCTGTCTTCACATGGCTTTCTCCACTGTGTGTCTGTGTCTCTGTTTTCTCTTCTCACAAGGACACTAGGCATTGGATTAGGGCCCACCCTAATCCAATATGACCTGATTTTAACTTAACTAATTACAACTGCAGAGACCCAATTCCAAATAAGGTGACAGGATATGAGGGCGATATGGCTGCAACATCTGTCACTCCATTGATCACCAGGGTTGATTCGGCTGATCTGGCTGGCTAGGCAGGTGTCCTCTTCCTCCCTCACTGCTCCATGTGCATCCCTCCAGAAGCTGCGCACTCGGGGGAAGAAGGTGACCATCTGGATAGAGGAGGACCAGTCTTTGGTCAAGGATATACAAGTAGCTGCACTCCCCTGCTAGAACCTCCAAACAATCCCAAATAAGGTAAGAATCTTAGGTTCTGGGTAGACATGAAATCCCGGGGCGGTGAAGGGAGGGGACTCTTCAACTCAGTACAGTCCTCATCCAGTCCCAGAGAGTGGCCATTCCACTGTGGTCTCATCTGCTCCCAGTCCATCTATTCTCTGCTTGTTACTGTGAAATCTGTATCCCTGGCCTTAAGCTCAATGCCACTCTTTAGAGCTATGCTTCCCACTGCCCGCTGGACAAATCCACAGGCCCTTTAAACAAAACAGCCACTTCCAAAAGAGAGTCCAAATCCCATCATGGCTCCTGTGTTTTCTATTTTATTTCATAACAAATCTATCTGGCCTCCCAAGTTAAGAAGCATTAGCATTATCTTCAACTTTCTCTTCTTCCTAATCCCCTCCCACCACATCTGATCAAAAAAATAGTCCCTGTGGAATCTATCTCACAAACCTCACTCAAATTTGACCTCTTCTTTCTACTTCCATTGCTAAGGCCTTAGTTTGCTCTCAGCCCTTCCTTAGACTATATAGGCAACACAAAGGCTCAATTCAGTAAAATATAGCACACCTATGTGCTAGGTGCTGGGCATACCAAGAGGAATTCAACACAATCTTGCCCTTGTGTAGCCCTCAACCTCTTATCTGGTCTCCCTGCCACTAGGCTTAAATGCATTTTCTTGTCAGAAAACAAATCTTATAATGGCATGTTGTGGCTTCCAATTCTCTTTTCACTCTCTTTTTCCTAGAAGGTGAAATGCAAATCCTCCCGTAGTCATGGAAGATGTTTCACAGTCTGCTTCCCCCTGTGCCGCACCCTTCACATCCAGCACTTCATCTCTGCCATGGTGGGCTTCTCATTCGTTCCAGATTTATTCCTGGGAGCAGTGTTTTCTTTTATCCAAAGAGGCTTTTCTCCCTTCTGTGCCCTGGGAAGCTCCTACCTACCTTTAAAGTGCCGCCCAAATGACCTGTCCTTTCTTACCTCTTATCAGAATCCAACAGGGTTCCTCCACACTCTGTGCCCCTACAAGACTTTGTTCAAATCCCTGTATAATCACATTTGCCACATTGTTGAAATTTATCTTTTTCACTGTCTGTCTCCATCGCTAGACCAGGAGCTCACAGAGGACCAGTACCAGGCAGCACTCATGTATCTCAGTCTGAATGAATGGAATTATGAATGCACCCTGCTCTCTTTGTCTTAATCCTACCCAAGGTTCCAGGCCTGGCTCAGTCCCGAGCCCCTTCCCTGGACTTTCTCAGCCACTCACTCCAGGCTATGAGTGTCTCCCTTCTCTGAAATGACCACAGTACTGACTCTCTGTATCACCAGCTTGGTGCTTATAACATGGTACTTTGTGCAATTGAATGTCCCAGTCTTCCCTTTTGATGCACTTCAAAGTTTCTTTTCCAAACTTAGTCCAATAATTTGCACCATAGTAGATGCTCTGTAAATATCTGCTAATTGGTTATTCAGTTTGGGGATGAGGGGGTGGAGTCCTAAAGAAAATGAGAAAGAGTGAGTTCCAGGACAGGTGGTAGTTTTGGCTATAGAATAGGTAGAGTATATTTTCTCCCATGAAACTAAAAGGAGGGGAAGAAAAACATAGGAAAATTATAGAGGAGAATACAAAGGTCCTAATTAGGACAGCCTTGGTCTTATTTTTAAAATAAGCATGGAAAAATAATATGCTGATTTAAGTATGCTACATGAATCTTAAATACAGCCAAATAAAAACAAATCAACATTTACCATCTACAGCTAGAGAAAGAGAAGGCAAGAGTGCAGGTAATTTATCTAAAATGGAACACATCATGTACACACTTTATGTAAACTTGCCTCTACATGATTATTGGAAAGGATGTGAGTAAAAGAACTGTAAAGTGTAGGCAGTTCTGCCGTCTATTCCACTGAAGGAGCATTCACTCCCCACGTGCCCCTTGTAGTCTAAGCAGCTCCAGATGCTGATAAAGCCAAGCCCACTTCTTTAGTGATCTGTGTCTACAGCAAAGGAAACACTAACTGTACAGCACTTGCTGAGAGAGAGTGTGTTAGTATCTAATGTAGCACATATTTGTGATGGGATATACTAAAATTTATGAGCAGTTTAATAGGCTTTCAAGGATATTGACTTTGCATAATTTTCATATTGTATATTGACTTTAGTACCAAACCCCTAAGTAAGATGTGACTCCACTGTGTAAGTCAACTGGCCTATACTGATAGGTAACCTGCATTAAGAACTCTTATAGTATTTGCTATTTATACTACTCATTTTGGCATTTAGTTGTATGTTTAATTGCTGGAAGTTCAGGTGTAAATATGATTATGTTATCTAGACTGTAAGTTCATGTTATCTAGACTGTAAGTTGGTGACTGTAACCACATCATAAGCTTTTATACCCCACAGTGTGTATGGCACAATGCCAAGGACCAAACAAAAGTTCTTAATTACTGAAAGGCCATTTTATCAATGTCACTTTCTCTCTAATCAAACTCTGAATCTAAAAAAATAACTAAACATGTCTTATATTCTCTGTTATGCTTTCTAGGGTCCATTTTTAAGGAAGAGGCCCTTGTTTAACTCAAAGTTACTTCTTAAATTTTAAATAATTGGCTGTTAACATATTTGATTAGGAAGGCATGAAGAAGTTCAGTACAAAGGGTAATTTAAAAAGTTATTGTCATCAGCATTTTTCTAGAAAGATAATAAAAATCACTTGGGAAACAAGCCTGCCTTTATTGGTGGCCTGGGAAGAAACATCAAATCAAGCTAAGACCCACCCACTCCTTTAGAGAAAATATAAAACAAGAGAGTAAAATCTCCATGGAATAATCAACAAAATATAGATATTTGAGAAGATGAATCAGGATTTCTTCAGGTTTAAATAAATTATCATGTATCATCTCTAATTTAAAAACAACATTTTTAAAGTAAAATGAGCCTTTCATTGCTGATTCCTAGCATACTATTTCCTTAAATCCTTTCATTTCATTAATATAGCTCAGTTCACAGTGCAGCAGGGACCAGATGAAGATTGAGCAATTACTGAATGTCATGGGATTATAAAGATAAGCTATTTGGATAATTTAAGCTAAAAAAATAACTCTTCTTTATCTCCAGGGTGGGTTTGGGAACTTTGGTTATTCACTGAATTTGGCCAGCCTACATTTTATATTACCAGAGAAAACATTCTAAATGTGCTTCCAACATTAGAAAATTATTTCTGTTTTCAACATGTTCTGTGATAAAGAGATGTAAGATTAAATACCATCCCAGTTAAAAGTAAGTTTGCTGCCATTTTTACTATATTGGTCAGCTAGCTTTTTTTAACTCTTAAGTCAAAGTTTGGGGCATTAAAACAAATAAATTCACTGTTTTTTCAAGCATAAATGATATGCAATAAGCCTCAGAGAACAGAGGTTACTCACTCTGGTTGTGTTTTACTTTCTTGCAAACACATACTCATGCTCAATTGAACTGCCTCCAAGTGATTTTTAAGTATTAAAGGTGAACACAGCCCTCATTTTTCAGGGATATTTTGGGCAGCTGTTGTAAAAAAAAACAAACCTGATGTTAAATTAAAAAGTTAAAAGGCACTAATCAAGAAATTACCCAAAGTTTAAGCTCACATAAAAACAAACAAAAATGAATGATGTGTAACATTGAACAGGAAAAACATTTAGAACCCTTGACAACGGGTTCAAATTTCCTGACCTGCTGGACAAACTCCCCTTTCCACATCTTTCCTAGATTCCATCAGATCCTGTTTTTCTCTCTATAATAAACTGTCATTTATCTAGAATGCAATCAACCAGAAAGTTAAAATAAACAGGGTGGTGTTTTCCTACGCTCCCTT